>NC_000022.11:37194412-37345927 GCF_000001405.40 Homo sapiens
TTTATCATTTATTCAACCAGTTTGCACCAAGAGAGGCCAGAAGCCTGACTGGTAAGAAATTCTTACCCTTTGCCAGCATGCCAGGTTTCTGGGTTCCCTTTCTCTCTGTGGCTTTGATGGCCCTGCTTACTGTGCCATTGCTATGGGGGCCAAGACACGTTACAAAAGAAAATCGTCTTTTTCCATTTCATGGAACCACAGGCAAAAGCCTCTTAATTTTGTAAGATGCTGTCCAACAGGCTGCATGGGGAAACCAAATTAACATTTTCCATTCCAGGAGACTAGCCACCCCACTCAGTGCCCAACATCAACCTGGCAAGGCTCAAACTTGCTCCCGATGGCCCTTGTCATCTTTGATCCACTCCAAGTGAGGTGGAATGCCCTCCAACCAGAAGTTTCAACATATGGTAGCTGGGCAAGATGGAAGAGTGGAGAGTCACCCTGAGTGACAGAAAAGATAGAAAAGAGAAAGGAGAGAGGAAGAAAAGCATTGCCTGCCGGGGGGTGGAGAAGCTGAGGAGCTCAGGGAGGCCAGAGGCCTCCATTCCATTGACACTGGATCAATAGTTCAGGAGGTCGCTTGTCAGTAGCAAAGGTATCTTTTCCAGCAATCTCATCATCTCTAAAGTTTCCCCCTTTGGGGAGAAGAAAGCTCCCCATGTCCCATGATCCTGTACGTGCCTAATCCTGTCACTCACAGCTGTCAGCAAACAGTGCAAGGCAGATTAATGAAAAGAGAATAGTGGTTAATATCCCATAGTGCCTAATCCATTTCTCCTTACCAAGGGACATGACCGAGGGGGACCTCTAACTCCCTAAGGACTCCAACCTTCTTCATTTGGGCCTCTAACCCAATTTCTGATAAGCATCTTTGCCCTTCACTAAGAGGGGCCTTTAACCCCCTATTTCTGAGGAGGGAACCTAACCCAAATCCATACATTACCCAGAATAAAATATCCCTCACTTACCCAAAGTCAGCCAATTGGGGCTGTAGTCTATTTCCTTTGGGTTGAGGGTGTTTTCTGGTATCGTCCCTTCGTGGTTCACTAGAAAAAATGGTACTGGAAAGGGGTCCCAATCCAGACCCAAAGAGAGGGTTCCTGGACTCGCACAAGAAAGAATTTGAGGTGAGTCCACAGAGTGAAGTCAAAGCAAGTTTACAGAGAAGTAAAGAAACAAAAGAATGGCTACTCCATAGACAGACCACCCCTGAGCGCTGCTGGTTGGCTGTTTTTATGGTTATTTCTTGATTATATGCTAAACAAAGGGTGGATTATTAATCAGTTTTCCAAGAAAGGGGAGATTTCCCCAGAACTGAGAGTTCCTCCCGCTTTTAGACCGTATAAGGTAATTTCTGGACATTGCCATGGCATTTGTAAATTGTCATGGTGCTGGTGGGAGTGTCTTTTAGCATGCTAATGCATTATAATTAGTGTATAATGAGCAGTGAGGATGACCAGAGATCACTTTCATCACCATCTTGGATTTGGTGTGTTTTGGCCGGCTTGTTTAGCGCATCCTGTTTATCAGCAGGGTATTTATGACCTGTATCTTATGATACCAGTCCTGCCGACTCCCATCTCATCCTGTGACTAAAAATGCCTAACCTCCTGGGAATGCAGCCCAGCAGGTCTCAGCCCTATTTTACCCAGCTCCTACTCAAGATGGAGTGGCTCTGGTTCTAACACCTCTGACACAGGGCCAGGGCGGCAGCCAAGTCGCTCCTCTATGCTCCAGCCCCAGCTACACCAAAGTCTTCTTCCTCTGACTGGAATTCTGCCATTGTTACTGACTCACCCTGGTCTTCTAGAACTATTCCCTTGTGGAAATGACCCCCAACAAGTTCACAGGAGGGCAGCCTGTTTGCCTCTGGGTCTGGCAGGGTCCTGCCTCAGTTTCCTTCTTGTTAGGCAGGGGGAAGTTTGGCAAAGACTCTCTGCCCTGGCTTCCTGGGGCCCGAGACTCCTGTATAAAGACTGTCTCAAATGTCCCTTATCCTCCACCAAGGGATTTGGTGGGTTTTGGCTGGCTTGTTTACAGCATCCTCCTATTCTACATTTGTTGAAGACTTACTGCCTGGGCCAGGTCTCATCTCTCTAGGGGCTTTTGGTCCCCAAAGGGTGTTTATATCCATTACTTCAACTAGTCCTAGGGAGCTGGGGTCAGGCAGCTGAAGTGACTTGCCCAAGGTCACATAACTGGTAGAGAGGAGCAAAGCCCCCTACAGAAGGGAAGACTCTCCAACCCGATGGAATTCCCTCGGGGCTTGGGCATGGGCGGGGAACAATGCCTGCAGGTCAGGGCCGTCCTGGGAGGAGGGAGGTGCAGGAGTGCGGGGACCCCGGCGGGGAGTGGGGATATATTTAAATCTGGGGCTTCAGGTGCTAAATCCCATTCCCCCACTCACAGCTGGGCCAAGTGTGGAGGATGGGACGGCCCCTGGGCTCTGCGTCCTCAACCAGGGCTCATCCTTGGGCCTCCAATTTCCAATTTATTTGGGGGGATAATCAAACAGAAGAATATGAAGCCTGGAAAGATCCTCAGAAATGATCTCATCTGATTCTTTCATCTGACCAGCAGGGACACTGTGGCCCAGGGAGGATTTATCTTTGGCCCAAAGGTCACATGGCAGACTACAATCCAAGCTGGGATGACAGCCAGACTCTCCCAACCTCCAGCCTTGTGCTGTCACCCCTCCCAAACCGACTTGGAATCCCCCAGGTCATCCATTCAGGGGTGCAAGGGGGCCCAAAGGAAAGCAGACTAAAGGACTTTGGCCACTGGGAACACCCAAAGGCCTGCACTGGCCCTGCTCTCTACGTGGCCCTGCCCCAGGCAGCATTCCCAGGGCGCAGAGCCAGGGCTGCAGAGGGAGGGAGCCAAGGGGAGCCTCCCTCCCTGCTTCTAAGGGAAAAGGGTTGAGTCGGCAGCACTGGAGAGGGAGACAGCTCCTGCCTGGCTCCAAGCCTTCGGGCTTAGAAAACCTGACCTTCTGAGGAAACAGGGATAGAGAGAACCATCAATGGGACTTGGGGAGAAACAGGCTGGGGACACAGCAATGGTTTTGTCAAGGGCCAACTGTGTGCCTGGCAGTGTTCCATACCGCCCTCAACAGCTCCTCTGCAGAGAAGAGCTGTTCAACCCACTTCACAGGTGAGGAGGCTGAGGTCTGAAAAGCCAGGCAACTCACCAGGTTCTGGTGCCAGCTCATTTGGCTCCCGGCCATGCAATGCCCCGGAGAAGAGCCTCCTGTCCCTCTAGGTGCAGGGCAGCTGGCAGGAGTCAGAGCAGACAAGAGAGAACTCTGGAATATTACACTTCAGTATTTTCCCTCCCATTAGCTTTGACCGTGCCTGAAAATTCCTCCATTTGTGCGTCATCCGTTGGTGTCCCAGCCTTTCTGACGATCTCCTCAGCTGGTCAGGTGGCCTGAAAACAGAGCTCCAGCCCTGGGGCAGACAAACCTGGGTGATGACTCAGCTCCCCCTCCTAGCTGTGTGACCTCGGGCAAGTTTACCTCTCTGAGCCTTGGTGTCCCTGGGCCAGATAAACATGAGGAGGCCAGGACCATCGGGGCCGACTGGTGGAATGCCCGATGGGGGCACTCCCCACTGGCCACCCATCAGTAAAGCTGTGTGCCCTTTCCCAGGCACCCTGGGACCCAGGACAACAGCATGACCAGGAGGAGCGCAGGCCCAGGGTGGCTCTCATCACCCTGCTATCACTCCCAGCAGCAAAGGAGTAACCCCAATGCAGAAACCCAGGGTACAGGCCCTGCTTCCCCAGCCACTCCCCACCCTTTCCCCTGCCTCCAGAAGCTGGCTTTTCTCCCCAACCATTCTGTGGGCCTTCCATATCTTGACTCCTCTAATCCTTCCAACAATGCTCTGACGTAGGCACACGTGTTACCTCGTCTGTCCATTTTACAGACGAGATAGATGAGGCACATACTGACCAAGAGCCAAGCCCCTGGCCACCATCCTGCACTCGCCCACGTTCCAGCCCAGGGTCAGGAGAGGGTGTGAAAATAGGCACATTCAGTCAGCGCTTACAAAGCACGGCGCGCTTCATGTATTTAAAAAATAAAATGTGTGCCTGTCAAAAAGGGAGACAGGACAGTAAACATGATTCCTGGCGTCCGCTATGTAGGCTCTGAGTGGCAAGTCACAGATCTAACTGTTCAAGCGCAGAGATCAATTTCAACAAAGGAAGACGCGAGCGCCTCCTGCTGGGCAGAGCCCCCGCGCCCGGGAACCCGGGACGCTCCCCGCTCCCCGGTCCCCGGCCCCCGCCCGTCCCACCAGCCCGTCCCCTCAGGGAACTTTGGGGCAGGCCAGGGCGCCCATGCACTCGCTTCTTCCTCCAAACCCCCGCAGTCCCCGCAGCAACCCCCACCCCCCACACACAAACCGGCTTCCTCCCACGAGGAGAGCCCCGGGCCTGGTTCTACCGACTCCCCCACGTTGAACCGCCCAGGGGCCGGGGAAAGTTTCGCTCTCCGGAACCAGGTTCCCCGTCCTGGGCTTTCAGGACGTCGGATCCCAAAGGTGTTCAGCGGAGTTGGGCGGGCTGTCATGTTTTACAAAAGGGGAAACTGAGTCTGGAGAGCGCCAGCTCCGCGCCAGGCCCTCTGCCCCGGCGGGAAACCTGCTGATTGTTGGAGGGGAAACCGAGACTCAGGGACACTGAGGGGCAGCAACTTCCTCCCCCGACACGACAGAACAGTGGCAGAGCCTGCCTGCTGGGGCGTGCGGCTGGCGCCAACCTCTCCCTTTCTCCCTGCAAAACGAAGGCGAAAGACGCCCCCACGCCAGGCTCGGGGAGCCCCTCCCTCTCCACCCGCTTCCCCCTCAAACCCTGGTTCGTGTCTCCCTCTGCATAGCCCAGGGCCCAGGCAAGCGGAACCCCTACATCCACGACAGCGCCACGGGCCCGAGGGACGAGGACCTGCCTCTCTGGCCCACCCGGGCCTCGCGCCCGGAGGGCGGAGCCACAGCCGCGCCGGGAAACTGCCTTTGCACTTCCGGCGTAGGGCGAAGCCGAGCAGATCGGAACAAGGCCGAGTCTGGCCGAGTGCTGCCGAATACAGCCGAGTAGAGCCGAGCCTGGCCGAGTGGAGCCAAGGGTCGCCGAATAGAGACGAGTCCAGCCGAGCGGAGCTGCGGGTCGGATACCACGCGGCTACTGGGCGAGGCCTGAGGACCCGCGGCGCCCCCTGCCGGGCCTGGGGAGCACAGAGCCACGCTCCAGCCGTCCCCGCAGCCCTGCGACAGGCTTTTGAGATGGGCGTGGGAGCCCATTTTTTCGGATGAGGAAACTGAGTCTACGAGAGGTTCTGAGGCTGGCTCAAAGGCACTCAGCGCTAAGAGGCAGTGGCGCTGGGGTTCAAACCCGATTGCGTGGCCAGGAGCTCACCTTTCACTGCCGACCACGTAATGGGCATCGTGCGTTTGTTCCGTTCTCCCTCTGGCAGCTGCCGTTTGATAAGGCCCAACAGGGAGAGCCCCTCCCTTCTGAAGAGCAGGCGCAGGGTCCTGGCTGGAGCTCAGAGGCAACCCCTGATCTTACAGAGGGAGACACCAGGCAGGCTCTGGGGCCTGTTGAGCCAGCAGTTCCCCTGAGCAAATATTGACACATTTGCTGGCCTTTAAAGCGGACAGGAGGGTGGAGAGGCCACATCCCAGCTCTTCCCCTGCTAGGATCCGATACACCCCACCCCACCGTAGGCCTCAGTTTCTCCACCTGTAAGATGGTGACAGAGGATGTGGGTTCCAGGAGAGTGTGAGCCAGAACCTGAGGTGTCTGGGACCCCAGGGGACCCTGAGTGTGGCCCAGGCACCTTTTTTTTTTTTTTTTTTTAAGATGGAGTCTCGCTCTGTCACCCAGACTAGAGTGCAGTGGTATGTTCTCCGATGACTGCAACCTCCGCCTCCTGGGTTCAAGCGATTCTCCTGCCTCAGCCTCCCGAGTAGCTGGGACTACAGGCACGTGCCACCATCAAGCCCAGCTAATTTTTTTGTATTTTTAGTAGAGACGAGGTTTCACCATGTTAGCCAGGATGGTCTCGATCTCCTGACCTCGTGATCCGCCCGCCTCGGCCTCCCAAAGTGCTGGGATTACAGGCGTGAGTCACCGCGCCCAGCCGGCCCAGGCACTTTTTTTGAGCCTATGAGAAAATGAAGGTTTGTCTCACCCTCCACACACAGGTGTGCACTCATGTGTGCCCGTCATTCACCCCTCAGTGTGGTGCACGCTGCTGTGAGGTTTGCTGGAGGCCTGCTGGGATTCTGGGGAGGAACCAAGGTCCCCATGGGGCCTGGGCTGCCCTCTGCCTGTTGGGTCTTCCCAGAGGGTGTTGTCTGCCATGGCCACCAGGGACACCAGTGGCCTCAGAGCTCTCCCCACGCCCAGCATCACTCCCGTCCACTCAGCCCCCATTTTCATAGTTTTGTTTTTAAACTATGGGCCCTGGACTAGGAACTGTGTTTTGGATCTGGCTCAGACCCAAAACAGCCCTTGGCCACCAAGCTCTGGACCTTGTTGGAGAGTTTGAAGGAATGAATGGGTTAACCCAACAGGTCCTCTGGGAGACCCAGGAGAGAAGGGGCCATTATCTCCATTTTGCAAGTAGGAATTTTGAGTTTGCTAGGCCTGCTTTAACAAAGCACCACATACTGGGAAGACTTAAACAACAGAAACTGATTGTCTCACAGTTCTGGGGGTAGAAGTCCAGGCTTGGCCTCAGCAGGGCTAGTTCCTTCTGAGGGCTGCAAGGGAAGGAAGAGCTGTTTCAGGCCTGCTCCTAGCTTCTGCTGCGCTGGTAATCGTTGGCGTTCCTTGGCTTGCGGATGCCTTGTTTGATCTTTACCTTCATGTTCACATGGCGTCTCCCTCCTGGGTGCCTGTCTGTGTCTGAATCTCCACTTTTTTTTTTTTTTTTTTTTTTTTTGAGATGGAGTTTTGCTCTGTTGCCCAGACTGGAGTGCGGTGGCGTGATCTCAGCTCACTGCAACCTCTGCCTCCCAGATTCAGGTGATTCTCCTGCCTCAACCTCCCTAGCTAGCAGCTGGGATTAGAGGCGCATGCCACTATGCCTGACTAATTTTTGTATTTTTAGTAAAGATGGGGTTTCACCATGTTGACCAGGGTGGCCTCAAACTCCTGACCTCAGGTGATCCACCCGCCTCAGCCTCCCAAAGTGCTGCGATTACAGGCATGAGCCACCGTGCCTGGCCTCCCCGCTTCTTAGGGACACCAGTCGTATTGGATTAGGGGCCATCCCTGCTCCAGTATGACCTCTTCACTACCTACAACTGTGATGACCCCATTTCCAAATATCAGGTCACATTCTGAGGCTCTGGAGGTTAGGACTTCAACATAGAAATTTAGAGGGGGACAGAATTCAGCCTTAACAGGAATGGATGCCCTAGGAAGCCCTGTGTGACACATTCTCTGTCCCTAAAAAGGGGCCTCTTTGCTACCTTTCTTCCTTTCACTCACTGCCTTCCTCCAGCTCAGGGCCTTAGCACGTGCAGATACCTCTGCCTGGCACACTTAGGCTGAAACTTCCACTCTAGATGCAGCTCCCACCAGCCCCCAACCCTCCTAGTGCTCTCCCAGAGCACACTGCACTTCTCCCTCCCCACTGAGCCCCCAAAATAGGGCTACACTTCCTTGTGTGGTTGCCTGTGAGTGCTGAGAGTGCGGGACCCCTGTCCATTTGCCTGCACTGGCCCCCAGCCGCATGTCAGGACCTTGCATACAGCTGGTGCTCAGAAAAGCCTTTGTTAGCTAAGTGAACCACATCCAGAGGTGAAATAAATGGCCCAAGGCCACACAGTAGGTTTGCTGCGGGAGACATAGGGCCCAGGCCTGCTGACTTTGGCCCCATGACTTTCAGGGAGACATTTCTCCCTCAGCCCTCCAGTGGACTTGCTGAGATGCTCAGCAGGGCCTGCCAGAGACAGGGAGTACCCTGAGGCCTTGGAGGGATGGTGGCCTTGCACACCTCCAGGGGGTGCCCCTCACACTACAGCCTGGCCTTCTCGCCGTGTTTTTTTTGTTTTGGGTGGGTTTTTTTGGTTTGGGGTTTTGTTTTTGAGATAGGGTCTCCCTCTGTCATCCAGGCTGGAGTGCAGTGGCACAATCTCGGCTCACTGCAACCTCTGCCTCCCGGGCTCAAGCGATCCTCCCACCTCAGCCTCCCAAGTAGCTGGAATCACAGACATGCACCACCATGCCTGGTTAATTTTTGTATTTTTGGTAGAGACGGGGTTCCACCATGTTGCCCAGGCTGATCTCGAACTCCTGAGCTCAAGCAATCTGCCCACCTCGGCCCCCCAAAGTGCTGGGATTACAGGCTTGAGCCCGACCGCTCGCTGTGTTTTCTTCTGTGTGGAGTCCTGTGGAGTCCAGCTGTCAACTCCCATGGGTCAGTGGCCTCACCTGCCCCATCGCTTCTAGGTAAAGAGGATCCCAAAGATCTGGGGGCCGTGGTCTTTCCTGCCCCAGGCCCTGCGGGTTCCCAGCTCCCCTCTGATAATGCTGATGCTGATGCAGGAAGTCCTGGTCCAGAGCCTGGTGGCCAAGGGCTGTTGCCTGGCAACCGCCTCGGAGAGACAAGTTCAAGGTAAAGCCTCTGGTCTGAGCAACTTCAATGGCTGGAGGAGGAGGAGAGGAGTGGGCAAGGTGCGTTATCATCACTCCTCCCTCCCTGCTCCTGCTCACAACTGCAGAGCCTCCCCTCACCCTACAGCCCCAATGGCTCCCCTAACCCACAGATTCTAGCCCCAACCCCATACAAGCTCCTTCAGTACCCCTGCCCCTTATCACTCATTTATTCAGAGGCACCATGCTGTAGCTTCACAGGAGGTTACAGGAACAGCGTGTACAGTACCCCCTGCAGTTGTGACATGCAGTGGCCCCCTTTGTTCATTCATTCCAGATACTCCTAAGAAAGGCCACGGCAGCACTGCCAGGCCCGGGGAACGCAAGGCTGCCAGACACACGTGTGTGGGGGGACAAGCACATGCACACACAGGCTGCACGTGAGCATGCACAGGCGGGGACACCCAGTGTGGTGGGGAAGCAAGGGCTGCCGGGGCTAGGTGAGGGACCCTACCCAGGCAGCCACTCCCACCCAACGCTGGGGCCCCAGCAGTTCCTCCACTCCCACCACTTGCACACCGGCCGCATGTCACACCTCAGTGCCCATTCACTCACGGACGCAGCTAAGATGTCCCGACCACCTACTGTGCACCCTGCACTGGGCTCACACAAACCTGGACACACAATATCACACCCAGCAAAGGCAGCCACACACAGCAAACCCCACACACACCCAGACCCGCATGTTGTTGGTTGCTGGTGCCTGGCCCACCTCCCCTAGCCATTAGTAGGCTGTCCCTGACCCACCCCTGCCCCACAGGCCAGGCCAGAGTGTCCATCACAGTGCCCTACCTTCTCTCTGGCTGGAAATGTAGGCACATGACCCGCACCTGGCCAACCATGGCACCCTATCACCACGTCTTTGGTGATTGGCCCAAGGGACCATCATGTGACCTAGTTGGAGCCAATCCACTTTCTTCCCTGAAATCTGCTATTTGGATAATAGGGAGAAAGGACATCTACTGCTTTTGGATCAAGGTCTATAAGGATGTGGGCTCAGCCCCATCAAGGGTATCTTCCATGTTCCCTGAAGGACCTGGACTCTGGGAGGTCACACCCGAACAGGCCAGGGTGCACGGAGCCCACACACACCTACACATTCACACCCATCAGGACACAGTGTCTGGCGGAGAAATTGGCCCAGGCCACAGCTGTTATCAGGTGTCACCGTCTTTATTGACAAGAGCTAGAGACAGAAGCAGCAAAGGGTTTCCTAACTGGCCTCCCAGGGACCATTCTAGGACATTACTCTCCTGTCCTAGGCAGCAAGAAGGCAGGATCAGCCAGAGAAGGCCAGAAGGCCAGGGCATCCTTCCTCCCTTGGACCCTCAGATCTTCCTCAAGAAACCCCAGACCAAGTCCCAGGGCCGGGCCTCCAGCCTCCATCTCCACACAAAATGTGGTTTTGTAAACTTCCTTCTCTTCTGATGGTCCCACACTCTCCCCAAGCCCTGCCTCCCTAACCCTTGGCCTCTGACCCCCCAACTGCCCATTTCTCATGGCCTACAGTGTCCTCACCCCAAAGGACAGACACAGAGAGGCCACTTGATGGAGAGGGGGGTATAGGCCAAGCCTGGGGGTGAGGAGGGCACCCCCACTTTATAATCTGATACACCCCACCGTACCCATTGCAGTGAGCCTGGAAGTTACCTCACATGACTCATTTTCTCGTTAGATCCCAGGAGGCAGCCAAGCTGGGATTCATCTCCATTTGTTGATGGGGAAATTGAGGCCCGGAAGGCCAATGCCAGCCCAGGACCCTGAGGTGTGCTGAAGATCCAAGTCTCCAAAAGTCTGGTTCCTGTGCTTTCCCTGAGGACCCCTGCCCTCTGCAAGGGGTGGGGAAGCGGAAGGATTTCACCGGGGGTCTCACCCTCCCAGGGCCAGCCTCACCACAGCTCTGAGGGACCATCTCTGGGAGGGAGTCTAGGCCCAGCCTTGGATGGTGGCTGCTCCCCATGGTCCCCCTCCACAGTCCCACTTCAGCCTCTTCTTGTCTTCCCTGGGCCTCCCGACCTGTAGTCTCCAGGATGATAGAGCATGGGGAGGGAGCTCCCCAGTCCTCCCAATGTCCCTGGTAGCCAGCTCCACCCTAGGGCTTTATTAAGGCCTGAGCCCTCTTGGCAGCACTCTGAGGCCCCTCAGGGACGCAGGCCCTGTGCCTGTCTGTACTCTGTGCATTTGCCATTGCACCCTGGCTGTTCCACCCTGATCGTGTCCTTCCCTCAGTACTGGTTGGGTGGGGCTGTTGTCGGCAACTCAGGTTCACAGATGCTACCACTGAGCTCAGCCCAGGGGGGCCAAAGACGGCTCCAGGAAACAGATCTGTACTTCTCCTTCCCCCTCCTCATCCTCCCCTTTCCCCCTTGTCTTCCTCTTCCTTCTCCTTCCTCTTCCTCTTCTCCCTTCCTCTTCCTTCTCCTCACAGCGCTCTTCAGACACTCTGCCTTTCCATGCCAGTCCTCATGGGCTGGGTCCCTGTCTCGGTCTCCAGGAAGGGAGAATATGGGTCACAAGGAGAGGAACAGGGATGGCCCTTCCTACAAGGAGGTGCCTGGAAGCCCTCAAAAGACCTGGGAACCCCCGGGGGCCCCTACTCCAGCCATAAGACCCAACATGAGCTTCCTTGGGGATTGGGTGGCTGACCTCAGCAGGGGCAGAGCCAGGCTTTGGGTGGCCTAAGCTTATGCAGTTCGAGGTCCCTCTTTAAGAAAACGAATACAAAATGACAAGTACAAAAGTAGATGCAGGGCCTTGCAAAAGCCCAGGCAGTGAGAGACCCTGAAGCTGGACTTCATTCGCTTCCATGAGCAGGAAATTCACCTGCTCTTCCCGTCCAGGAGCACAGGACCTCCAGCATTGACTGCCTGGGCCAAAAGGGTGTAGAGGTTGTTGGGTTTTACCCAGGTGAAGCCTGAGGCCTAGAGAGGAGCAGAGCTGGTCCAAGGCCTCACAGTCGAGGGGAGGGAGCTGATCTGGGGCCTGACCATTTCTGCCCCACTCCTCCCACCGGGTTAGGCTTTCTTCTGTTTAGGTTTCCAGCCCAGCCCCCAGCAGCTCCTGTGTTCCTGACTCTGAGCCCAAGAAATCCTGGCCTTGGTTTATCCCTCTGAGGGCCAAGATTCTAGTTGATGCCCCAAGACACTCCATCCCTGGGGGGAGGCCAGTCTGCACCCACCTTTTGCCTGCTCAGCCAGGTCAGCCCAGCAACAGTGCCCTCCAAACCTCTCATCTGACATAGCTCATCCAGGCTGATGACTCCTATCCCTGAGTCACAGAGGAGAAAACAAGGCCCAGAGAGTAGAAGCAACCTACCCAAGGTCACACAGCAAGACCTGGCAGCAATAGCATCAAAGTCCAGGCCCCTCAACATCCCATCATGGGCCTGTGGCACCTTGGGAAGTAGGCCCTAGGCACACCCACGGCTTCTGCCTCTTCCTCGGGCCATCCTGGCTTTCCCCAGGCCCCTACAGGTAGCTGATGCGCATCGTGCTGGACTTCTCCCCAGTGGAAGCCTCTTGGGGTAGGAGCTGCTGCTCCTTGCTGGCCACTCTGCTGGGCGGCCGCTCCTGCCCGCTGGTGCCAGGCTGCGTGATCTGGCTGACCCGGCCGTTCATCTCCTTCCCCTTGCCCCCCTCCCTGCTCTCCTCCCCATCCTCCTCCTCCTCATCCTCCTCCTCAGTCTTCTCCGGGGGCCCCACAGTGGGCTCCTGGCTGCGCACACGGCGGGAGGGCCGCAGCAGGACCCTGCGGAAGCCCTGCTTGAAGCGGTAGGAGAGGAAGCCATAAAGGATGGGGTTGGCACAGCTGTTGGCATAGGGCAGCGCCACCACCAGGAAGTAGAGCCCAAAGAAGGCAGGCTCCTCGGGCAGTGGGCACACCACGTTGACGATGTTGAGCACGTAGAAGGGCATCCAGCAGAGCACGAAGAGCGCCACCACGGCCACCACCATGCGCGTGACCCTGCGTTCGGAGCGCCGCCGCCGCTGGCACGAGGGTGCCCACACCCGGCGCCCAGCTGAGCGCACCTTCACCACGATGAGCAGGTAGCAGAGGCAGATGACCAGCAGCGGCCCGAAGAAGCCCAGTGCGGCCGTGTAGATGATGAAGCCGGCTCGCCAGGCCGCCGCCGGCTCGGGCCACTGCATGTGGCAGGTGCTCATGCCGCGGGGCACTCCCGAGAAGACCACCACGGGCAGCACCACCACGGCTGAGGCCACCCACACAGCCGCGCTGACCGTGCGGGCCACCGGAGCTGTGCGCCAGCGGGCCGAGCGGGTGGGATGTACCACGGCCAGGTAGCGGTCCACGCTCATGACAGTCAGGCAGAATATGCTGGTGAACTGGTTGATGCCATCCACCGCCATGACCAGGCGGCACATGAGGGAGCCGAAGGGCCAGTAGGACAGGGCGTTCTGGGCGGCCAGGAAGGGCAGCCCCAGCATGAAGAGCTCGTCGGCCAGCGCCAGGTTGAGGATGTAGACGTTGGTGACTGAAGGGCTGGCCGTGTGCCGCAGGACCACATAGATGACCAGCGAGTTACCCAGCAGGCCCACCACGCACACCACCAGGTAGACCAGGGGGATCAGAACGCCACTGACGGCCAGCCCTGCCGGGCTTGGGCCCGCCGACACGTTGCCCAGGGTGGCATCTGGGGGCCAGGCCGAGGAGGCATTCTCAGGTTCTGAGGTCGTGGACACCGATGATGGATGAAGCATGTCCATGGCTGAGGGGAGGGTGGTCAGCAGTCAGCTATTTGCCTGGGGGAAGGAAAAACAGCTCGGTCACAGCAGAGAATGGCTTTCTCTGTGCTGCCCCCTCCCATCATGCCGAACCTGGGGACCTGCTGCACGCCCATCCTCCCATCGTCTGAGAGATTTCAGAAGATGGGAGGTGCTTAGCACGCACCATCTCATTCACCCCGCACAGCCCCGCAAGGCTGAGTCGTGTTATCCCCTTTTCTCAGATGAGGAAACTGAGGCTCAGGGAGGTGAGGTGATCATTCTCCATCGTGGAGTGAGGGTGTGGTGTGTGGCATGAAGTCATACTGTTTCACCAACAAATACCTGCCCTTCCTTTCTACATGTGAGGCCCCAGCTGGCAGGGCCCTGTGAAGTGGGTTGCATTGCCACCAACAGGTCTCGCCCTCACATCTGAAAAACACTGCTTCATATCACAGGACCTTCACCTGGAAACCTGCTCCCTAGATGAACTTCAGAGGATCCATGAACGCCCTAAACTCCAGGTGAAGGTTAATGTCAGATCTGTTATCAGATTCTTCAGGTTCCAAATGGAGTTAAGAACCACAGGCTTGGGGTGTCCCCTCCCCTGGGAGTCAGAGTCCTTAGGTGCCCCCTCAGCCTGGGCCATCCCACTGTGCCCCTCCCAAAGGCCCTGCCCAGGAAGGTTGGCTGTGAACCTGGGGGGCAGGTGGCTGAGGCCCCTTCTCCCCAGAGGCCGGCTGGGGTTGGAGAACTTTACAATTCACTTAGCAGATGCTATCCAAGAGTAGTCCCTCCCCCTGGCTGGAGGGGCCAGCTGCCTGGAAAAGGGGACATTTTCAGAAGGGATTTGCAGCATAAGCAA
Organism: Homo sapiens; assembly: GCF_000001405.40. Lineage (NCBI taxonomy): Eukaryota > Metazoa > Chordata > Mammalia > Primates > Hominidae > Homo > Homo sapiens. The sequence goes on from NC_000022.11 coordinate 37,208,666, forward strand.
GAGCCCCCCCGCACTCCAGGTGCTTTCTTAGTGTCTTTCTCATCCCATGCCTGCGCAGAAGAAGCTGGGGCTCCTCTGGGCTCCCCTGCGAGACTCTGATCCCCTCCCCTGTGGAGTCTCCAGCCAGCTTTGGACCCTCCCCATTGCTTTCTGCCCCATCACTTCCGCACAGGCACGAGCTCTGCCTCAGTGTCAGGCATCAAATGAACCAGAGAAGCCTTCAGTGGACCAAGCCCAGTGCCAAGGGGGAATGTCAGGCCCCACTGAGGAAAGCCACGCTCAGGAGGAGGCCCAGGCAGAGCCAGGCTGGATGCAGGAGCCTCCTCTGGGGTCTGGACCACCCACTGCACCCCCTCTTCCTAATGATCCCCCAATCCCCTGGCTCCTGGCTGTCCTTGGATTCTCCCTGCAGAAAACCCTGAAGGGAAGATAAATCTCTCAGAGGAGAAGCCCTTCTTCTAATATCCCTGACACTGGGCCTGCACTTCCTCCCTCCAATGGGAGCTGTGGTCCGCACTGCCCTATATGGATGTCACTGTTGATGTGCAAAGCTCCTGGGAAGGGAAGGCACCCCAAATCCAAACAAACGCCTCTGAGCACGCCTGGCTACCCCTGCCCCAAGGACCTGGGGCTGCAGCGGGCTCAGAGTGCCAGGCTGGGTGAAGCCAAGGGTAGCAAGGAACCCCTAGGCCGTGGCTTCTCCAGCTGGCTGGGTTCAGAGCATCTCCTCCCTGTTCTTGGGGCTGGGAGAAGAGAAGGATTCTGAGCCTGGGTCATCCCCTAACCTGTCCTCAACCCATCCTTCTCCCCAACCCTTCATCAGGTCTCCTGAGCCTGGGACAGCAGCACTAAGGGAGGGGCACCTGGACAGTGGGCTAGAGGATCCTAACAGTGCTGCCAGCTGCTCATCACTGAGCCCTGACTGTGCCAGGTGCCAGGCTAAGCTGGTGAGCTGCAGTATCCTATGATGTCCTACGAGGGAGGCACTACTGTCATCCCCACTGCACAGATGGGGAGCAAACGTGAGGTCACATGTTCTGGTCACAGCTAGGAAGGGGCAAATCTGGAAAGATCTGTAGTGACCACCTCTACGCCCATTCCACAGGCTGGCAAACTGAAGCCAGGCCTGGGAAGGCACCCACCTGAGTGCCCAGCTGGCATCCGCTTTCCCAGTTGCCCCCAGGGCTTTGAGCTATGAGGATCATGGACTCAAAGCCTAATGGACCTTAGAGATCTAAAAATAGAATTTTGAATTCTTAGAACAGGCAGAGAATCTTACAGCCATAGGATTTTAGACTCAGTATCCTTGAATCAGAGAATGTTAGAATTCCAGAATGCTAGAATGAGTCCTTCTTAGACCTGGAATTGTGCAACCTGGAACCTTAGAGTCCTGCCTCCCTGGTAGGGGACCCGCGTCACCATCCACCTTGCTGCCCTGTGCTGTGCACAGATCCTCTTTATAGCATCCCTGCTGGTCAGCCAATCACAAGCCAGGGCTAGATGAGGGAGGGGAGCACCAGGCTCCTGAGAGAAGCAAGGAGCTGGGCAGGCCTAATTTCCAGGCTTCAGGGACATATGCCCCTGGGGTAGCCCGCTGGGGGTAAGCTCTGAGGTTGCCCCACCCCCACGCCTGCCCAGCACATGTCTGTGCACCCACAAGCGCATGCGCTGACACACACATGGTCCTGGCAGGAACACGGCGTGCCTAGCCAGACCCTCCTTTGTACCAGGGCATGCAGTCGCCCCTCCCAGAACCCCTGGCCCCCTCCTGGAAAACCCTGTCTCCACCCTTATCTCAGCCGGTCTTCCCTGTCAAAGTTTGAGGGGCCCAGGCAGCAGAAGCAGGGAAATTACAGCTTTCCACGCACGTAAGCCAGACCTGCAATTGAGGTGCCGTCTTTTCTTTAGAGCTGGAATCCTGTGCATGATCTAGTTCATCCTTGAGAAGGAGGGACTTTTCCTCCCTGTCTGGTTTATCTTTGGCACAAGCTTGCCTGAAAGCTGGGGGCGGACTCCTTGGAGGACTGTTCAGGAGGAGACAGCACAGAGAGGGTGAGTGGCTGTCCTGAGCCGCACAGCCCTAACAGTTCAGGGAGGCCAGGCACCCCAATCATTCTCCATTTGCCCATCTCCCACCCGCTAGAACACTGGCTCTTGAAGGCAGGGGCCCTGAATGATTTATTTCTTAACCCCAGAACCTAGGACATCACCCAGAACAGCCATAAATGTGAACAGCCAAGCCGTTCAACAAGGAGAGCTCCAAGGTGGGACATTGTCCCCGGATGGAAGCCTCAGACTCACATCATGAGATCCTCAAGAAGCCCAAGAGGGAGAGTTTTTAGAGAGGAAGAAGTTGAGGCTCAGAGAGGTTGAGTAAGCTGCAAAGGGTCACCCAGCTGGAGAGTGGGAAGCCAGAATTCGAACCCAGTTCTATCTACTTCTAAACCATCAGTACCTCCTGGCCACACTGGCTCCTCTGAAGGCCTCAGGCTGAGAAGGATCAAAGGCCATGACAGTCCTGAATAGTGCAGGGCGATGGCCCCTGGCTCTCTGCTTGTCCTCTACATGCTTCGGCCTTCCCCCCAAAGACACCTGGCTTATGCTTGCCAGTGCCGACTGACTCACTGGCACCCCAGGCCTGGGGCCTGATCCCAGGAGCACACCCTACAGGCCCAGCGCTGGGGGCTTGGGCTCTGCTGCACAGCGATGATGCCAAATTGCTGTGTGACCTCGGGCAAGTCACTTCTCCCCGCTGCACCTCAGTTTCGTCATATGGAAGACAAGCGGACCCACCTCCCAGGGTTGTTTGCAGAGATTAAACGGAGGCGTGCCAAGCACAGTGCCGGGTATGGAGGGGGAGCTCAGGAGAGCTGCCACGTGAGCTGGGGAAGCCAACGACATGATACATCTGGCTCCCTCCAGCCCTGACAGCCTGCGATTCTGTGATTCCGAGATCCTAGAATCATGGCACGAGATTCTGAGACTAACGCCCCTGCCCCTGCAGCCGACCGGGAGGTCACAGGAAGGCCTCCCTCCTGCCTCCCTGGGAGTCCCCACCCTCTGCCTCCCCAGCCCCAGCCTCCCAAGTTCATCCTGGGCAGAGGATGGGCTTCCAGGACCCCACCCTTCGGGACATCATCCGGGCCCCAGCCTCCTTACCTGCCCATGGGGTGAGGGCTTCCCTCCTTGCCGCCAGGCTGGTTATCATTCTGCTGTCCCCTCTCCCTGCCCAGTCCCCAGGTGCCCCCAGGGCACTCCTAACTAGGGTCCCCACAAGGCACCCACTTCTAGACCGCTTGCGGGCTCAGGTTCCCTCCCAGGCCCTCGGCCACGGCTGTCCACAGAGCCTCTCCCATCTGGTCTCCGGCCCTGACTTCCCAACCAGAGCCTGGTACGTCACCCCCCATCTCCAGGACACATCCTGGGGGGGCAGGGGCAAGGATAGGGGGGAGAAGCTTCCCAGGGTGAGGAAGAGAAGAGGGGAGCAAGGGACACAGAAGCCAATAGAAATAGAGGGGAAAGGGGGTCGGGAGGAGGTGGAGAAAGAGAGAGAGAGAGAAAGAGGGAGGGGGAGAGAGAGAGAGGGAGAGGGAGAGGAGACCGTGAGTAGGAGGAAAGGCAGAATGAGGGGGAGTGATGAGAGATGCGTGACAGGGAGAAGACGAGAAGGAAAGAGAGGAGAGGAGACACGGGTGAGAGGGAGAGATGCAGAGAGAGGCAGGAGGGAGGAAGGAGAATGAGGGGGTGGCAGGGAGAGTGACAGAGAGGGACTGTGCCACAGATGGTGACATGGAGCCCGTGAAGGAGGGAGTAAGCAGGGAGGGGCTGAGGGCCGGAGAGCAGGTGTGGGGGGTGGGGGCGGGGTGCAGGTTAAGGGAGGAGGCCCGGAGAGGGAGCAGGAGGGGCGCAGACCCTGTTACCGGGGAGATTTCAGCCACCCACGCCCGCTGGCCTTGGCTCCTGCAGGGAGTTGGAGAGAAGAATGTGCTCAGTGCTCAGGGGAGCCGAGGCTGCCAGCCAGTAGCCAGAGCAGCTCGTGAGGCCACTGCGGCACAGGTCCCCCGGGGCAGCAGCTGTGTCCCAAGGCAAGGCTGGGTGTGGGGCTGGCCAGCCCGGGAGTCCACAGTCCAGCCCTGCAGTCGGGCACACCGGCCGCAGCACGGACCACTGGGGAGGCCGGGTGGGGGTCATTAGTCCTGGGATTGGTTACATCTGGAGAGCCCCAGGCAGGGTGAGGAGTGGAAGGACAGAACAGAGAACCAATATTTTAGGCTTTGAGGGCAAAATCATTGTGCAGTGAGAAAACAGATTTTTACTATTTTGTAACTGACAAAACTCAAAATAGAATAATAATAATTGAGGCCAGTATTTTGTAATGTAGGTCCACTCATGAGAAGAATAGAGTTCTTTTTACAGACATCACCTTTTGCTTAATTGGAGTTTAGAGTTAGTGTTTCATCAAACCGATTGCAAATGTTCATCCGTAAAAACCATTCTCAGCTCCTAGGCTGTACAAAAACAGGCAGTGGGTGGGATTTGCCCCGTGGGCCATATTTACTGATCTTTGGTCTAAGAGACTCTGCCGTACAGTCCTGAGCACAGGCCCAGATGTCTTGGGATGCCGTGCCCCTGCCTGTGCTGATTCCTGCCTCAGCACAGGAGTGATAAGGAAAGGAACAGTCAGAGACGGAAGGGAAAAGGACACACGTCTTGGCTGAGCACCTACTATGTGCCAGGCTGTACCTAGGCTGCTTTCCAAACTGGGCCATTCCCTGGGACCAGGGCTGGACCTCCTTTGTCACTAGGTACCTGGCACTGCAGAGAACTGGAAGTTGAATGCATCCAGAGGTGCCACCATGCATGCGGCAGCACACAGTAGGACACACCCACTTCCAGCCGGAGCCGGCCTGGTCTCTTAACGCTGCCCGTCCCTTTGCCTTGTGCCCGGGACAAGGCCCTTGCTCCAGGTCTCAGCCTCCCATTGTCCTTGTCCGTACAAGTTCATGAGGTGTGGGTGGGCTCCTGGGAGCGTGTCCTCAGGGTCAAGGGTGGGTTTTCCATGGCACTGACCACCCACCCCTACCCACGGCTTCTCACTGCCCTCAGAATAAAGCTCTCTCGCCGCAGCCCACCTGGCACTGCATCCTTGATTCCTGCCGCCTGCGCGGGCCTCCTCCTCTGCTGATTTCACTCGCTCCTCTGTGCCCCAGGCGTACCCAGCCTCATGTATTCATTCACTTATTCCTGCAGGTTGGGGTATAGGGGCTGAAGACTGGACAGGGGAGTTTGAGCCCCAGCTCTACCCCTGCCGTGCACTGAACTTAAACTTCGGTTTTCTCCTTCAGTAGATTGTACACACCTGACTGCCTGGCCTGGGGGTTCTTGCGAAGGTTAAAGGAGTGAATGCTCATCAGTGTGCCCCCTGCCACACACCTCCCCAGCACCGAGCCTTACTGCTCCAGCCTGGAACCCGTCCACTGCTCTCCATCCACAGGCTCCCGTCTGAGCCAGGCCACTGAAGGGGTTCAGGACACGCCACCCCAGAATACACCACTCTGGCATATTGATTTCTCTGCACTAAAGGCACTTCAGAAACAGCAGGTGCAGAAAGGGGGCTCTGACCTCCCCTTTTCTTCCTGAAAGCAGGAGCTAAAACGCCTTGTGAAAGACGCCCTCCCTATGCCAGGAGGAGGAAAGACATTACCAGATAAGGAGAGTCGAGGCCAAAAGAAATCTGTATGAACAGATCTTTTAATCCTTATCTTCCTAGTTACACAATTGCCATTCTATGTTCAACCTGGTACAAAAGCCTTTATGCCTAGTCACTTCTTTGGGTCTTGGTCATTTGGGCGGGAGGCGGGGGGGCTCCCTTGTACATGTAAATGAAATCTGTATGTTTTTCTCCTGCTGATCTGCCTTATGTCAGTTTAATTCTTCAGCCCAGCCAGAGACCCTAAGACAGTAAAGAAGGGTTTTTCCTCCTCCACCCCACCATCACCTTGTACTCCCCTGCTTCCACCCTCGCCCCCTACTCAGCAGAGAGAGTGAGTCCATTACAAACATAAGTCATCCCAGCTGCCTCCTTGAGAACCTCCTATGGCCACCTGTTCCTCGTCAAATAAAATCCACAGTCCCGACCGCGGCCTAGGGACCCCATGTAACGAGCCTCAGCCTGCGCTTCCGCCACTCGGCCCTCTTCTCGTTCTAAAGCACCAGGGCCTCCATCTGAAACTCACCGGTGCCGCGAGTCCCTAGCAGGCCACTCCGGGTCCCCCTCTTCACCTTCAGCCTGGTTAGGCATCCCCTGCTCTGGCAGCCTTCTCCAGAGCCCTCCCCTTCTCCAACACTCCCTCCTTCAGGATTCCTTATCTGTAATGCAATGATTTTTTAATTTGCTTTTATTTTATCAAAGTACTGTTTGCAAGTAAATTTAGAAACCAGTAGAATAGTCCCCGCTTTATGCCCCTTATGCCTCGGTGCATACATCCCAATACCCTGAGTGGATGCCTGAATCCGTGGATTATAGTGAACCTGTATATATATGCTATTATTTTTTCCTGTATGATGTTTTACATACCCATGGTAATTTTTTTTTTAAAAGAAACAGGGTCTCCCTATGTTGGCCAAGCTAGCCTCAAACTCCAGGCCTCAAGCAATCCTCCCACCTCAGCTTCTCAAAGTACTGGGATTATAGGCATGAGCCACCTCGCCCAGCCTGATAATTTTTTTCTTTTTTTTGAGACGGAGTCTCGCGCTGTTGCCCGGACTGGAATGCAGTGGTGCGATCTTGGCTCACTGCAACCTCCACCTCCCAGGTTCAAGCGATTCTCCTGCCTCAGCCTCCCGAGTAGCAGGGATTACAGGCTGATAACTTTTTTTTAAATAAAAGATCTCACCTATGTATTACTGAACCCAGCCTACTAGTGCAGAGCATATGAACAAAGAGAAAAAGTACCTTCCCAATCAAACATGTCCAGCTGTCCAGATAGTGGTGACATTTTCAGCTTGCTATGGTAATATGATCACAACCTTGATACAACATGAATATGTGTAGCATCTCATGCTCAATTCCTTATAGACCCAGCTTGGTTCTTTCCAATATCTCCTTTTGGAGCTGTACCTGATGTTATTACCAGTTTTCATACAGATCCACTGGGGAATGGGACAATTTTGCTTTTGTTTCTTGTGCAGGAATCACTTGATCCTGAAAGTCTTGTGAGAAGCTGTGGCGAGAAACGGAGTCAACCACACACCACGATGGTGGAGAAAGATAATGTTTAACTTATAAATTAGGCACAGTTAAGAGACGAACAGCAATAATTAATAATACAATATACAATAAAACAATATAACAATATATCATAACAGAAGTTATATGATGGTGACCTCTCTGTCTCTTTTTCTTTCAAAATCTATTAATATTTTTAGACTGTGGTTGACCACAGGTAACTGAAACTGCGCTAAGTGGACTACTGTAGCGCTGAAAAGGTTTGTAACAGCAAAAAACAGCAGTCCTCCCCCATCCCTCCCACCCCCCCATCCCACAGGTAATCCCACCCGCTCGGCAATTGCTCCCTCAGTTAAGCTCTTTCTCGCTAAATATCATATTGATTTTTTTATGTCTTAATCCCTCAATTTTACCCATTATCTACTGACTCCTCTTACAGTACAGGAGAAGTTTACATTTCTTACGCACTCTCACCCCTTCTCCCCATCTTCTCAATATGAGTTTCGGTTAAATGCATATCCAGTGTTCCCATGATTAATGCAATGTAAATATTATTTCCTGCTCAGCCAGGAGTTCATAATTGCTTCGTTTTTTGGTTTTTAAAAATATCTTCGATTTCTTGGACTAAGCATTTCCACACGTTCCTATAGCTTCGTAAAAACCACACAGTGGAGTTTCCAGAGTCCAGCCTCAGGGACGATTTCGTCCTGGAGACTGACGAGCTCCTCTTATCTGGGCCAGCTGCCCCTTGGGCCTGTGCGCAGCTGACATCCCGAGATTCTCTCTCCATTGTTGTTTGGGGATTCCCTTCAGCTTTTTCCTGTATGAATCCAGTTCCTTAGATTCCATGTCTTCCTTTTTGATGTTTTACTCTCTCATTTTATGGGGGCCTTGGGGTTTTTTTGTTTTGTTTTGTTTTGTTTTTGAGACAGGGTCTTGCTCTGTCACCCAAGCTGGAGTGCAGTGGTTCAATCTCGGCTCACTGCCACCTCTGCCTCCCAGGCCCAAGCGATCTTCTCACCTCAGCCTCTTGAGTAGCTGGGACTACAGGTGCATGCCACCACACCCAGATAGTTTTTGTATTTTCGGTAGAGATGGGGTTTTGCCATGTTGCCAAGGCTGGTCTTGAACTCCTGGGCTCAAGTGATCCACCTGCCTCAGCCTCCCAAAGTGCTGGGATTACAGGCGTGAGCCACCGCGCCTGGCCTCCTCTCTCATTTTGATGTAGCATAGCTCCCAGTAACTTTCAGAGAAGGTGTGCATGTTTCAAAATAGTGAATTCCCCTCTCACACATGTTGATAGGTAGGCTAGGTATAGAATTTGAGATTGAGAATGACTCTGACTCAGCTGATGGAAGGCGTCTGTCGGTGTCTCCAGCTTCCAGCACAATTCTTAATCCCAATCCATTGTGTAACTTAAGCTAATTTTTTTATTATTATTATTCTGGAATCTTCTAGGATCTTTGCTTTATCCTTAAATTTCTGAAAATTTTATAACAAGATTTGATTCTTTTTTCATTTGTCTTCGGGGGCACCAAGTAGCCTTTTAATCTGAAGATTTGTGTTCTTCAGTTCTGAGACACATTTTTCTGTTATTTCCTTCTGTAACTCCTATTATATTTGAATATTGGGTCTCCTGGATGAAATCTTTATTCTTCTTGTTGCTCATCTTTATAATTTTGTTCTACTTCCTGGGAGGTTTAAAAAAATCTGTTTTTCTCTTCCAGTCCCTCTTTTTTTAAATCAACCTATTTTTCATTTCCAAGAGCTCTCTCCTGTTTTTTATTTTATTTTTTTGTTTGTTTGTTTGTGTTTTTTGAGACAGACAGTCTCGCTCTCTCACTCTGTCACCCAGGCTGGAGTGCAGTGGCACAATCTCAGCTCATTGCAACCTCCGCCTCCTGGGTTCAAGTGATTCTTCTGCCTCAGCCTCCTGAGTAGCTGGGATTACAGGCACATGCCACCACACCCAGCTAATTTTTGTAATTTTAGTAGAGACAGGGTTTCACCATGTTGGTCAGGCTAGTCTCAAACTCCTGGCCTCAAGCAATCCATCCACCTCGGCCTCCCAAATTGCTGGGATTACAGGAATGAGCTACTGAGCCCAACCAGCTCTCTCCTGATTTCTGCCTGCTCTTTGCTATGGCATTCTGTACTCATTTGTGGATATATGTTTCCTTATCTCTTCAAGGATGGCAATGATGGTTTTGTCAAAATTTTCTTCTGCTCACTGCATCATCTTTATTGCTTACTGATATTCCTTTTCTTCTACTTATTTGATTGGGTCTCTTTCATTTATCATTTGGGGCAATGCTATCATTAGAGCCTTCTTCAACCAGTCATCCTGTGTTAGCCACTCCTGTTTCAGAATGAGGCATTAAGCCCGGGCATGGTGGCTCACACCTGTAATCCCAGCACTTTGGGAAGCTAAGGCAGGAGGATCACCTGGGGTGGGAGTTCGAGACCAGCCTGACCAACGTGGAGAAACCCCGTCTCTACTAAAAATACAAAATTAGCCTGGCGTGGTGGCGCATGCCTGTAATCCCAGCTACTCAGGAGGCTGAGGCAGGAGAATCGCTTGAACCCAGGAGGTGGAGGTTGTCATCCCAGTAGCCACAGCAAGTCACATGGCCAAGCCCAGCATCAGGGGAGAGGGGAAACACGCCCCTCCCATAGAGGGTGTGTCAATCTCTCTCTGGAGCATGGTAGGAGTGATGGGTAGGGAGGGTAGGAGTGGAGGAGTGATTATTTGCAAGGCATCATCGAATTGACATCTCCAAAAGCATTGTGGTGCCTCACCCCCACTCTGCCCTGTAGCGAATGTCTCTGGGTCCAGAGAACTCTGGCTGAATACTCCTTGCTGGGGTTAGGGAGGGGTGGGTGCCTGACCACGTAATGGAAAAGAGAAGACCTGGGGTGGTGCTGGGGGATCTCACTCCTCCTAAGCAGACTTCCACACAACCCCTGTTTTCAGCCTCCTGCCTCACCATCCATGATGTCTGGGTTCCCTAATTCTAAGCCTCCCCAGGGTTCTGCAAGACCAGGTGATTTGCATCTTTTCTGTCTCCAAAGCCCCTACTCCACCCCACCATGTAGCAGCAGGCACTTAGGTTTGCCTTCCTCAGCTCTGTTCAATCATTTACCACCCTCCATCTGCTCTTGCTGCTCATACATTGTGGTTTGGGGTTACAGGTGTCTCCTGGCTTCTTTGAAGGTGGGAGTTTGTGTTTCTGTTTCTTGTTCTCCTTCTTGTCGTGGCTGCTTTTCAGCGAGGAGGTGGGGGTGGAAACATCTCTACCCTAGCGCCTTGAGACGAGAGTCTCTTCCTTTCTGTATTGAATATATTTCTGTGATCTGTGGATCAAGCCACATGGTGGATGTCTATTTACACGTCTGTCTCTCCCACTGGCTTCTGAGCTGCTGGTGCGCAAGGGGCTGTGCCTCACCCCTCTCTGCACCTCCAGCTCCTGCCACAGCTTGGTGTGAAGCACATAGTTAATAGGTGGGAACTGTATTGAATTTTGGATTCTGCAAAAAACTGCTCATTTTACCTTCCTTGAGGTCCTCTCCGGAAGCCTTCTAGGGATATCCTGGATCTGCCTCTCCCTCTCCGGGACCTGTCCTGCTCTGCCTCCCATATCATGTGAGAGCTGGATGGAGTCAGATGTCCCCAAATGTCAGTATCTCTCTGGAGCGTGGTAGGAATGGTGGGTAGAGAGGAGAGGTCAGAGATCGGAGGAGCAGATAACGAAGAGTCTAGACTCCAAAAAGTCAAGGTTTCAGTATCAGTACCTGTGTCACAAACCACCCCAAAATGTAGTGGCTTACAATAGCCATGTTATTATCCCTCATGATTCTGTGGGTTGGCTGGGCTCATTCAGGCCATTCTTTTTCTTTGATGGTGGCTGACTGCGAGTCACCTGGAGACTCAGCTAGGCCGGCACATCCAGGTCAGCTCTTGTACATGGCTGGCACCTGGCTGGGGTGGTTGGAGGCTGGGCTCAGCTGGGTCGCTGGCATGGTTCAGTCTCTCTATTTTCATTAAAGTCCATTCTTTCACCCACTTACTCATTTGTACAAATAACATTCATTCTGCATGGATTAGGTGGCCAGGACTCACTAGGGCCTTAGTGTAAAACAAAACACGCAGGTCCTTCTGTGTGTTTGAGCTTACAGTCTAGACGGGAAGCACTTTTTGAATAAATACACCTATTTAATAAACAATTATAAACAGTGATGAAGACTGTTCTTCAACAGAGGCACCAAGAGAGAAGCAGGAGGAGGAGGTGATCGAGATTGAGTGTGGGGTGATTGTGGAGGAAGATCTGGGAGAGTAGGTGCTATGTGTGGAAGGAGCGGCTTGAGCAAGGGTCCCAAGGTAGAAGGGGCCTGGCACACAGTGAAAATCCTGGGAGCAGCCTGCATTAGTCTGTTCTCACACTGCTAATAAAGACATACCCCCAGCCTGGCCAACATGACAAAACCCCGTCTCTACTAAAAATACAAAAACTACCTGGGTGTGGTGGCACATGCCTGTAGTCCCAGCTACTCAGGAGGTTGAGGCAGGAGAATTGCTTGAACCTGGGAGGTGGAGGTTGCAGTGAGCTGAGATCATGCCATTACATTCCAGCCTGGGCAACAGAGCAAGACTCTATCTCAAAAAATAAAACAAAATAAAAAATAAAAGTAAAGACATACCCAAGGCTGGGTAATTTATAAAGGAAAGAGGTTTAATTGCCTCACAGTTTAGCATGGCTGGGGAATCCTCAGGAAACTTACAATTATGGCAGAAGGGGAAGCAAACGCATCCTTCTTCACATGATGGCAGGAAGAAGTGCCAAGCAAAAGGGGAAAACCCTTATAAAACCATCAGATCTTGTGAGAACTCACGTACTATCACGAGAACAGCATGGAGGTAATCGTCCCCCTCCCCCATGGTTCAATTACCTCCCACTGGGTTCCTCCCACCTGGATTATGGGATTCAATTACCTCCCACTGGGTTCCTCCCTTGGGATTATGGGAACTACAATTCAAGAGGAGATTTGTGTTGGGACACAGCCAAACCAGATCACAGCCCTTGTGGCTGGAGCTTTGCAAGGAAAGGGAAGATAGTGCCAAGTGAGATCTGGAGGTAGAAACTGACAACATCCTATAGGCCTTGTAGGTGAGGGAGGAGGTTTCGTGCCAAATGTCCAGAGATACCACTGGACGGTGTTATACAAGGGAGTGGTCTGATCTGATTGGTAGTTTAACGCGATCACTCTGGCCACTCCGTGGAGATAAACCATGGCCAAGGGCAAGAGTGAAAACAAGAAGGCCAGTCAGGAGGTGTGAGCATTAGGATTGGTGCTCAGTTGGTGCTCAGCAAATATTTCCTTTCCTCCAAGTCTGGGAAGAGTTCCTGTCCCTGCCCCATTGGTGGTGTTGGGCTCGGCCATGTGAAGCATGAGCAGAGGCCTTAAACACCTCATGGTTTGGCTTGGCTTCTCATGCTCCTGTGATCCACAATGAGAAGGACATGCCCCAGGGAATGCTGGTCTAAGGAGGATGAGAGACAGGTGGAGCCGACCCACACACACCCACAGCCAGGACCGAGACCACCCATCCCCAGCCCGAAGCCAAGTCACCAGCCAAACCCTCCTAAGTCAGCAGACCCACTGTCCACCTACAACTAGTGAGTGTGAGAATACAGGCCTGCTGCTTCTTGCCTCTGGATTTCAAGGCAGTTTGGTTTGTTACACAGCATTATTGTACCAATTGCTGACTATGACAGGAGGCTACCACAGGGAGGATACAGTGCTGGTTTGGACATTAGAAACCATGACAATGCAGAGAAGGGGGTCACTGAGGAGATTGTCGGTGATGGGTTGGAAGTGGAAGGTGAGGGAGAAGGTGTCAAGGAGGACTCCCAGGTTTTTGATTTGAGAGCCTGGATGCATTTACTGAGTGATGAAGGCTGGGCGGGGCGTGTGAGTTTGAAATGCTCAGGAGACATCCAAGCAGAAGGGCCATTTCCTGGGGCTCTCTGCTGGCTGGACAGCCTCCCCACTGGCCTGTGAGCTCCTGAGAGCGGGCTCATGCTTGACCCACCCCCAAGCCTTGGGCTTGACACACGGTCTCAATAACTATTTGCTGAAGGATTCAATGATTGAATAAGTCTGTGGTTCTATCAGCATTTTTGACTGCACAGTTGTTTGTAAATGAGGAAAATCCCCAGGCCACCTGGTGGCAAATGGAGTAGAGGCAGAGAGAGGGAAGACAGGAGGCCAGTGAGGAGGCTGTGGCTACTGTCCAGGGGAGACATGGCAGGGGTTAGGTTAGGGAGCAGCCGTGGGGACAAGGGGTGGATTTAATAGACAGAGGCTGAATTGTCCAAGCTTGGTGGCCAGTGAATGCCAGGGTGAAAGGATCGGAGGAGTTTGGGGGACCCCAGGCCTCCGCTTTGAAGAAGGGACAAGGAACAGCCAGTCTCTAGAATAGAAAGCACCAGATGAAGTGGCCTTGTCTGGCAGGCACTTTCCTCAACCACCAGGCCATGATTTCATTGCAAGAAGGGGCGAAGTGAGGCATGGAACCTGCTGCCAGCCCAGGCCTGGCACTAGGTGGGCACTTGGGAGGGGTTGTTGTCACATGAAAGAGCAAACCATGGTGTCAGCTCCTGCCCACAACCGGCAGGTCTTCCTGTTTCAAAACAGGTTCTCATTGACTTCCCATAAGCTTTCTCTTTCCTATATGAGGGGCCTCCATCCTCAGCCAATTTGCAGAGCAGAAACAAGTGGCTCACCCCACTTGGAGTGGCTGCTGGGAACAGTTATACAGTGGGAAGAGCACTGCGCTAGGAGTCCTACCGCTTCAGTGACAAATGCTGTCAGCTTACCGTAACAAAAGGTGTGACCAACGGTGACATTAACAATTGGGTGGTTTCATTTTCTTCAGTTCCCATAACAAGGCAGCTGTTAGCATTGGCTCAGCTGCCCACTGCTGCTGCCAGGAACTCACGCTCCTTTTATCTTTCTGCTCATCCCCTCTCAGCACGGGGCCTTGTATCTTCATGTTTGTGGCTTCAAGCTCACAAGACGGCTGCTGCAGCTCCAGACATCCCACCTGTCATTTTTTTTTTTTTTTTTTTTTTGAGTCTTGCTCTGTCACCCAGGCTGGAGTGCAGTGGCGCAATCTCGGCTCACTGCAAGCTCCGCCTCCCGGGTTCACACAATTCTCCTGCCTCAGCCTCCCGCATAGCTGGGACTACAGGCGCCCACCACCACACCCGGCTATTTTTTTGTATTTTTTAGTAGAGACGGGGTTTCACCGTGTTAGCCAGGATGATCTCGATCTCCTGACCTCGTGATCCGCCCACCTCAGCCTCCCAAAGTGCTGGGATTACAGGCGTGAGCCACCGCGCCCGGCCTGGGCCTGTCATTTTTTTAAGGAAGAAAACAACTTTCACAGAAGCCATCTCTCCCGCTGACTTTCATTCACATCGGCTTCTAGGCCAGAACTATGTGGCCTGAAAACCCCAGTGACAAAACCAGCTGGAAAAACGAGTATTTTGTTGGTGTTAGGTACGGTGCTGCTATGCACAAAACTAGGATTCTGTTAGCAAGGAGGATGGGAACAGAGGGAGAGGGTGGGAAAGGACAGCATCTGCCTTGTCAATTTGAGCCAAACCTGTGCCCTCCCGCATCCTCATCTCCTCTTCTGCAAACCGTGGCTAAGAGTACCTATCTTGGAAGGCTATTAGAACATTAAATGAGATAATATGTGCATGGGAGCCAAGACAATGAGTAAAGGAAGTTATTTACTGACATTATTATCATATAGAAGCAAAGATTGTCTCTACTGGGGTCGACCTAACGGGCTGAACACACATGGAAGGAGATCCGGGCCCACCTTTGCCCTGCAGGGAAGTTCCAGGAGCAAAGGAAAGGGGTCCAGTATGTTCAAAGGCCTGGAATGAAAGAAGCATGAATGTGGAGTGGAAGAAATGACAGTCCAGTCTGATGGTAGAGGCACGAGTGCAATAAGAGTGGGAGGCAGAGGATGGCCAGACCTTCAGGGCCATGGTTTGTTGCGGAGGCTCTGGAGTTTATCCCAAGGCTCTGTGAAGAGGAGGGATCAGAAAGAGGCTCCCTCAGACTCTGGCCAACCTCAGGGGGTGCCTCAGGGATCTTAGACATCGAACATACTAGGGAGTGGGGTCCTGGCCGCCTGCATCTGTATGGTGCCATGGATGGGTGGGGTTTAGTATTTCCTTTCTGTTTCAGAAGAGAAGTAACTTTGAAAACATCATGACTTTGAGCTGAAACTAAGAAAAGCAAAGGGGTTTCCCCTCTGCACCTAATCCCTTTTAAGGGGGGCTCCCAGGAGGTGAGTGAGCTGGAGGGGGTCCTGCCTCAGAACATGGGGACTAATGGGGATAGTGGGGTTGGCTGGGAGCTCTGGGAAAGCACAATGTGGAAACTCAAGCATTTCATGGGCTGGAAATTGGGGTCTTCTGGGTTGTCAGGGGCAGCCTCTTAGATCTCTTAGCCTCTCTAGAGTGTCAGCCTCCTGAGGGCAGGGACTTCTGAGCACTGCTGGATCCCTGGCACCTAGAACAGTGCCAGGCACAGAAGAGGTGCTCAATAAATGTGTGTTTGATGAATGAGTGAGAAGTTGAGATAGAGGAGAGTAATTGTCCGCAGGAGGGGGAGGTCTGGCACCTCCACAGAACTTAGCAAGTCCTGAGGTGGGACTGACTGTGCAGGCACTGTTGTGCCCATGTCGGAACTTCTTAAATCCTCACAACAACCCCGCCTCTCTTTTAAAGAAACTCCCCTTTGCTTATCACCTTCGGGGTCCAGCATTGTTTCATTTCACTGCTGAAATGAACACTTTCCCATGACCTCCAGTAGTGGAGGTTGAGGGTTTCTCGCCCAAATTCCCAAATTCCCGCCAGGCTCTCAGCCCACTTTGGAACTCACCCTCCCCCCCAGTACACACGCTTTCGCTGGGGTTGCCGCAGTTCTGTTCCAGCATGGCATATGGTCCATGCCTGGCCAGTCAGAGCACAGCACTGCACCACTCTGACAAATATGATTGGTTAAAAGGGGGCCCAGGACCTAAGCTGGTCCAATCACAGTAAATCTTAGTTAGAACTTTGCCTGGGATAGACATTTGCTCTTTTTGGCTGAACTTGAACTTGGAAGGATGAGGCCCTGAACTTGAACTTGGAAGGATGAAACCCTGAACTTGAACTTGGGAGGATGAAGCCCTAAGTCGCCTGCCTGAGAATGAACCAGCCAGCAGAAGGCAGAGCCCAGAGCTAAACAAGCCTCGATGACATCATTTGAATACCTTGATCAAGCTGCACCTGAAATCACGATATCTCCAAACTTGAATCAATAAATTTATTTTCTGCTTAAGCAGGTTGAGTTGGGTTTTCTATTTGCAATAGCAAAAGTCCTGACTGGCAAGGTTTAAAAGTTTGAAGACTCTCACAGGTAAGTGCAGCTCAGGATCCTGTGAGTGCAGCAGAAAGTCTTAAGAAATGGCAGGGGCTGGTTGAACCCAGATTTTCCATTGGCTGAGCAGATATCCCCAGAGGCGTAGAAAATTAAATTTGTTTTATGTTGTTCCAAAAGAGGAGAACTGAGGCCAGAGGAGCACACTTCTGAGACACTCATTTTTGCTGGGTAGAGGAACTCTCTGGCAAGCAGGACCATCGATATTAGAGCAGCTGGCCTCAGGAGGGAGTAAGAGCCCCATCCCTGAAGGTACACAAGTTGTGGCAGCAACCATCTGGCCTGCAGTTTCCAGAGGGGAGTCAGGCGTGGGGTGGGACTGGAGTGAACGGGTAGATGCTTCCACATGCGGCAGTTGGCACTGACGGCAGGAACACGGGGGTGGCTTAATGGGTCCTGGGGCTCCCCTCTGGCCCTCAGGAAGGCAGGAGCATGAGGGGCTTGGGATGCAGCACCTGCAAATTTGCACGTTCCTGGCCTCAGGAGGCCTCCAGTACAGAAAAGACCATCAACGAAGCTCTGCAGCCATCTGCTAAGAAACGCCACAGGGAGGGGACAGCATGGCCAGCCGGGGTGCCATCAGGCTTTGGGTGGGGATCCTGGAGGATCAGACCCATCTAGGTGGGAGCGCTGGGGTGCAACCTGGAAGGAAGATAAGCAGGGAAAGAGAATTTGGGGACATGCAGAATCCACAGCTCTCGCCTTCCTGGCTCACAGCTCATTCCCACCTCCAGGTCTTTGCTCAAGGTTTGACTCCCACCAGGACTGCCAATGCTGCTCTCCCCACCTCACCAGTCCTCTCTGTCCTTCTGGTCCCACACCTCCAGGAGGCCTTGTGGGCTGCCTCCAACTCACTGACCCCACCATCTGCCCCCTGGGGATCATAGCTCAGGCTCTCCCACCTCCACCCACATATGTGGGTGCAGGATCTCCCTGGCTCGACTGGGCTCTCCTAGGGCCAGGGACCAAGGCATCTTTTCCATCACCTCCTGCAGGAATGGGCAGAGTGGGGCTCCGTGACACCCACTCCCTGGCCCGGGGGTGGGGGGTTACCAGGCATTCATTCATACCTTGGGCCTTGCCTCTGGAAGATGAGCTCCAGAGAGTGAGACTGGCCCAGGCAGATGACAAGTAGGCTGCGGAAACTGAGGCAACCTCCATACCCACCTTCTTTCTGTCCTGGCCTAAATGCCACTCACAGTGAACCAAAGGCCACTGCTCAGCCAGGGCCTGCTGTGTATGGGAGTTGGGCACTAGAGTGGGGGACTCTTACCCCTAGAGGAGGCTGCAGGCGCGCTTCTGCTGCCGCGTGGGCTGAGGGCACAGCACGGCCCGGATGGCCTCGTCGAACACGGTTTTCAGGCCTCTCTGGGTGAGAGCTGAGCACTCCAGGTATTTCACCGAGTCTGGTTGGGGAGATGGACAGGAGAGCCAAGGCCTAAGTGGCGGGGGGGGTTCTGGGCCAACATGTCTCCTATGCCATACAACCCCTTCCACGCCATACACCCCTCCCACGCCATACACCCCTCCCACGCCATACACCCTCCCGTGCCATACACCCCTCCCACGCCATACACCCCTCCCACGCCATACACCCTCCCTCCCACGCCATACACCCCTCCCACGCCATACACTCCTCCCACGCCATACACCCCTCCCACGCCATACACCCTCCCATGCCATACACCCCTCCCACGCCTCCCACGCCATACACCCCTCCCACGCCATACACCCCTCCCACGCCATATACCCCTCCCACGCCATACACCCTCCCACGCCATACACCCCTCCCACGCCATACACCCTCCCTCCCACGCCATACACCCCTCCCACGCCATACACTCCTCCCACGCCATACACCCCTCCCACGCCATACACCCTCCCATGCCATACACCCCTCCCACGCCTCCCACGCCATACACCCCTCCCACGCCATACACCCCTCCCACGCCATATACCCCTCCCACGCCATACACCCTCCCACGCCATACACCCCTCCCACGCCATACACCCCTCCCACACCATACACTCCTCCCATGCCTCCCATGCCATACAAGCCCTCCCACGCCATACACCCCCTCCCACGCCATACATCCCTCCCACGCCTCCCATGCCATACACCCCTCCCACGCCATACACCCCCTCCCACGCCATACACCCCTTCCCATGCCTCCCACGCCATATACCCCTCCCACGCCTCCCACACCATACACCCCTCCCACGCCATACACCCCTCCTATGCCATACAACCCCTCCCACCCCATACACCCCCTCCCACGCCATACACCCCTCCATGCCGTACACCCCCTCCCAAGCCATACAACTGAACACCAGGCTCTGGGGGCCGCCATCCAGTCCCAGTGGGGTCACCTGGAGGCTGTGTCACCAGGAGCAAGGAGTTTAACGTCACCGTGCCTCAGTTTCCTCATGTCTGTAATAGCGAGCGTGAACTCAGTGAGAGACTAAGGCCTCCAGGGCAGGTCTGTGTCTTTCTTGGACACATAGCCCTTAGTCCGTGGAAGGAGGGCGGGAATTTTGATGCTTTTCTGTGAAGGAAAGGGCTCAAGCATCAGTGACCAAATCTCTGGGAGCCTCACCTTCTAGAAAATTGTCTTGCCCATCCCTCCAGGATTCTCCCAGGGTTGCAAATAATCCCCAGGAGGCCTGAAGCCCTCAGGGCCCCCTCCCCAGGAACTTCCCAACATCATCAGCCCCTTCCTTAGCACCGTCCCTGTCTTACAGACAAGGAAACTGAGGCTCCTGGAGAGTATGCGACTCATCCAAACTCACACGCTGGATGTATTCCCTCAACCTGGGCCCAGCTGGGGGCCTTCTGGGAGGAGTGGCATTGGAGAGCTCCTCTGTCCTGCCATGGGAGGCCCAGCCTTCTCCCACATGAAGACCCCTCAGGGCTAGAGCCCGGGGCACAGATGAGGAGAAAGGCAGGCCTAGTTCCCACCCCCAGGGACGGCGTTCCATGACATTCTGCAAAGAGTCCGTGTGACTTCCCATGTCCATTTCAAGCTGCACAGTTTCCCTGAAGTGAAAAACCACAAAACCCCTTCTGCCGAGATGCTATGCAGGCCTGGGGGCCGATGTCAGAACCAAGAGGAAGGAGAAGGGAGGGGAGGGGAACTCTGGGCCCTCCGCCAAAGCCCGCTTGCTTCTCTGTGGCAGGATGGAAGGGGATGGACGCTGGTCACCACCTACCCTGTGCCAGGCACTGAGCTGGGTGCTTCCAACAACACCGGGGTGAGTTCCCATTTCACAGACCAGGAAACAGGCCCAGAGTGGGGAAGCCAAGGCCCGAAGGCACAGAGCTGGGGGGAGAAGTCGGGATGGCAGGAGGGGCAGCCCCTGGAACAGGGGAGCCCACTGAGGCCAGGTGCTGGGGAGAAAGGAAGGGTGGGGCAGGGACGAGGAGCCTGAGGCTCAGAGAGGATGTCACTCGCTCTGAGTCACATGCTGGGCGTCTCCCCTCTACCTGGAGGCATATACGCCCACCAGGGATCATGGGCAGTGGTTGTCATGGGGCTTGGCTGGCAAGAGCAGGGTGCCCTGAGCTCAGCCCGGAGTCTGGTCACCACAGCCCCCTGTGTTGAGGAGGTGTCACTGGGCACTTGGCCACTGTCTCCTTATAAGGGACCACATCTGCGTCCACTTCCCCCACATCCACCAACTGCCTTTTCCCTGGCACCCAGCCACCCACTCACCCAGGACAAGGGTCCTGAGCTGGGGGGCCAGGGCTCACTTTGGCTCGGCCTCTCACTGCTCTAGGACTTTAGTCAGTTCCCCCTCTCCGGGCCTCAGTCTCCCATCTGTCTAGGACTCATTGCCATGCGATGGCTCATCAAGCTGAGGCAGGGGGCAGGGGAGCTACAGAGAGGGCAAGGAGGGTGAGGGGGCGGTGGGGGCAGTGGAGGTGCAGGGAGGACAGATGGCCCTCAGCTTTGTGGCTTAGGGAGCCAGTCCACCCCTGTCAGAATCCTGGCTGGGTGGCCTTAAGCCAGCAACATGTCCCCCCGAGCCTGTTTCCTCTCTGTAAAGTGAAGGTGACAAGAGCTCTTCGTCATAGCTGCTGTGAGAATGAAGTGGCTCCCAGGAAGTGCTCAGTCCACATCAGCTGTGATTATCAGCTGGGCTCAGGGCTGCCCCCAAAACTTGTCATCCCAGGGCTGGGGAGTCCAGGTGGGCAGAGGCAGTTGCTGCTTCCCTCACTATCCCTGCCAGTCCCCCCAGGACTCCCCCTAGGCCTAAGCTGGTCTGAGGCACAGTTAAAATCACTGCCCCTGCCCCAGCTCCATGCAGGGTCAGCCAGGAAAGACTGGCTAGAGGCCAAGGCAAGAACTCTGAGTCACCACCTTATGGAGGAGAGAGGGCCTTTGGGGATTGTCCAGGTCAGCTTATGTGGAGAGGGAGACTGAGGCCCAGAGAGGGGCAGCCACTAACCCAAGGTCACACAGCCAATCAGTATCAGAGCCAGGACCAGAATCCAGGCCTCCAGCACCCTCCACATGATCCCAAAGCATGTGCTTTACAAGGGAGAGGTCAGTGACAGCCAGGCCACAGGCTGGAGAGCTGCACCCTGAATAGAAGGAGTCCAGGGGCAGGGGTTGGAGGGGTGCTGGTTGGTCAGAAAGAGAAGGCAGGGATGAATCCTTGATATTTAAAAGGAAAGACTTGCAGGCTGGGGAGCTGTGGCCCTAGGACAGGGGAAGGGAGCCAGGGTGTGAGCCATAGTCTGAGGCCCCCGGGGAAGATGGCTGTGTCACCACGCTAGTCACAGAAGGAGGGAGGTGGTGGCTGCGGTTTCTCTTCCTGTGAAGAGATGTGAGTCCCCAGGGCCCTCCCAGTTCCGGCAGGGGGAGGTGGGGCGGGGCTGGGGCGGTGGGGCGGGAGGAGGTCTAGTGGATTCAATTTGGGGGCCAAACCCTGGGCCTGCAGAGTCCTGTGGTGAGGCAGAGGGCACAGCTCATATGACCAAACCCAGCTGGTGGTTTTGGGCTTTTGGGCAAGGATCCCTGAGCTACAGACACATTGGGACCTACCAGGGACAGGGACAGGAACAGCCAGCAGGCCTGGGTACCATGCATGAAGCCAGACCCATGGTCATCGCCTCCCTGATGCAGGCAGCCCTGAGCCACTACAAAGAAGCACCCCCCAGCAGTGAGCCAATAATTTGCTGTCCTTCCTTCAAATCTGGCTGGGCCACCTACTAGCTGGGTGACCTTGAGAAGTTACTATATTTCTCCAGCCCAGTGATTTGGAGGCAAAGAGGGGTCGAGCTGAGAAACCAAAGGGAGTGGGGAAAGGGAGGAGAGAAGGTGGTGGAAGGAAATGTGTCACCCTTTAGATCTAATGCAGCGCCACCTCCTCCAGGAAGCCTTCCCAGAACACCCAAGTTTGACTTGCCACTTGTCCTCCAAGCAACCACAGCACCCCCACTCAATCTCTGCTTCTGTCTGCTCAAAGCACACCTCCTTATTTTCAGTATCTATTAATAGATACTACTCATACTACTAGGACGACTACTACTAACACAGAGTGCTTCTCACACACAGGTGCTGCCCTGGCAGCTCCACCTGGAATAAGTTACTGAATTCCCCCAACCACCCCAGGAGGCAGGAGCTATCACTATCCCATGCTTTTCTGATAAGGAAACACAGGCAGAGAGAGGCTACGTGACTCGCCCAAGGTCACACAGCAAGTGCACAGCACAGCTGAGTTCAAACTGCACAGCCTGGCCCTGCAGCCCGTGTTTACAATCACACCACGAGGCCAAGTCAGGGCCTCCCCTGCAGCCAGATCGCCCCTCTGAGCCCGAGGCCCATACCAATCTCCTTGGCCAGTGCCAGGCCCTGCGGGTAGGTGATGGGAGCCAGCTTCTTCTCCTTCAGTTTCTCGATGGTGTCCTTGTCGTCCCGCAGGTCCAGCTTGGTGCCCACCAGGATGATGGGTGTGCTGGGGCAGTGGTGCCGCACTTCTGGGAACCACTGGGCAGGTGGGTGGGGGGACACAAGGTTGTATGGGTCAAGAGGGGGCGCGAGGCTGTGCGGGGATCAGAGGGAGTGTGAGGGTGTAGGGAGAGGAGAGGCAGCAAGTTGCCAGAAGATCAGAGGTGGGCACGACGGTGAGGAGAGAGAGACGTGAGGTGGCACAGGGAGGGGAGGCCACGACGTTGTGCAGGAAGGAGGGGGCGCATGATTGTAGGAAAGGAGGAGGCGAGGTTTTGTGCAGACATAAGAAGCAAACATGAGGTTATGTGACAATCGGAGGCGGACATGAGGTTGTGTGGGGAGGAGGAGAATGCAGCCATGGAAAGTGGGGGTATAGCTAACTATCGCAGCACCCCCCACCCCAGGTCCTCTGAATCTTACCCCCTCAAGTCCCTCTGCCAGCCCTGGTTGGCACTGGGGACCCTCTCTGTATGCGACCTCTGCTGCCCCAGGGACCAGCCTAGAGTCACCAGTTCCTCCCTCTGTCCCTCAGGGTTACCTGCCCCAGAGCCCCCAAGGCCCACCCTGTCCAGCTCACCTTGGCGCGGACGTTCTCATAAGAGGCTGGGCTGACGAGGGAGAAGCAGATGAGGAAGACGTCCTGGGGACAGAGCAAGCGAGGTTGCTAGTGAGGAGGGCCCAGAGGTGTCCCACCATGGCAGCCACCGAGAGGTGGAGCTTGGGGCTCCCTGAGGGTGGAACACCCCAGGGAATGCTGGGGACTTAGGATCTGGGCAGAGCAGAGATACCCTTCTCGCCTCTACCACGAGGCTGCTGTTTGTTAGGACGCTCACTAAAGGCCAGGGCCTCTGCGAAGTGGTTATCCTCACATGTCACTCTGCAGCAAGCACTGCTGGTAGCCCCATTCCTCAGACAGGGAAAGTGAGGCTTCCAGAGGTTAAAGAGTTTGCCAACGTGCACTCTGGTGAGGGGAGGATCTGGGATTCTAGAGTCCATACTCCAATCCATATACTATCCACCATCTGATTACCGGCCTTAGCCGCCTCCCTGCATACCCTGGAGGAAGGGCGAGGACCCAGCAGCCACCTGCAGGCATCCTCCACCTCTCCCCTCCCCCAGCACTCCCAGGGCTCACCATGCTGGGCTGCCTCCTGGGGCCCTGTGCAGAATCCACCTGCCCCACCACTGGAAACAGGGGGTGCCAGAGCCCAGGAGGCAATGGGGTGGGAAGATGGGCACATTGAGGACCGGGAACCAATGCAGGGCTGAGGGAGTGCAAGAGGAAGCCCTTCTCTGCCTGGGACATGCAAGGCAGGCAGACTCCCTGAGCTGGGCCTTAAGGGGAGAGGTAGGGTTTCCCAGGCTGAGCTGGCTGGAAGGGCATCCCAAGCAGAGGGAACAGAGACAGCAAAGGTCAGGACTGCAAGGCAGGTGGGAGCAGCACACCGTCTGTGGATAGGAGAGCGGCCGGAGACGGTCGTAGTCCTCCTGCCCAGCAGTGTCCCACAGCCCCAGGTTCACTGGCTTGCTGTCCACCATCACATTGGCTGAATAGTTGTCAAACCTGTGGGGAGCAGGCAAGGCGGAGGTAAGGTCAATCTCAAACCCCAGAACCTGGGAATTGTGGTCCAGCTCCATGTCATTCCTCGGAGGCTGAGACCTAGAGACAGTCTGCGACTGGCCCAAAGTCACACAGCATTTGCAATTGGGTTTCTTTATTTGTTTCATTACTGATTCATTATATTTTTTAAAAATGTAATACAAGTTAACAAGAAGAAAAAAAGATTGTCTCTTAATCCTTTTCCTACCCGTACCTGTCCTTTGGAAAGGTAATTGAGGCTGTGTAACTTTTCCTCCCAGTCTTGATGAGAATAAACTTACCTCTCTCCCTATGCTGCCACTCAATGTTTGCTTTTTGTTGTTTTTTGTTTGTTTGTTTGTTTTTTGAAATGGAATCACGCTCTGTCGCCCAGGCTGGAGTGCAGTGGCACCATCTCGGCCCACTGCAAACTCTGCCCCCTGGGTTCAAGTGATTCTCCTGCCTCGGCCTCCCAAGTAGCTGGGATTACAGGCATGCACCACCACGCCCAGCTAATTTTTGTATTTTTAGTAGAAACAGGGTTTCACCATGTTGACCAGGCTGGTCTCGAACCCCTGAACTTAAGTGATCCGCCCGCCTCGGCCTCTCAAAGTGCTAGGATTACAGGCGTGAGCCACTGCGCCCAGCCGCAATATTTTGTCGAATGAATGTTCATCCCGTCTCAGGCTGGGTCCCCCCAGAAGCAAACCCTGAGACAAGGAGGTGATGTGAGGGGTTTATTCGGGAAGTGACTCCAGGATGCTGCAGAAGGGGAGTGGGGAGGAATAAAGGAGGGGACAGCAGCTGACACAGGGCAGGTGGTTGAGTTGTCATGGCTGTGGACTGCTGCTGCTCTCAGTCCTGCTGGGGCCACCTGGGAGACAGAACGGACCGTGCTCAGGGCGTCCCCAGAGAAGGCAGGAAGCTAGGGTGCTGTCATTCATCTCCCATCTTCCAGGGAAAGAGGGCTGCTTCCGGGGCCTTTCAGCCCACCCCAGAGTGTGCGTGAAAGCTGTTAGTCACTGGCCATGGGAAGGGCCACGGCAAACGGTAGAAAGACACATGCTGCCGAGGAGATGGTGTGAGGCACTGACCTTGACTCCCAATGTCTCCCGCCAGACCCAGAGAGCCCTGCAGGGCCATCGAACGAGCCTCCAGATGCACTTGCTAGGCACCTACTATGCATCGGGTGCAGAGCCAGCGCTGGGGCCACCAAGGAGTACATGCCTGATCCTGCCCCCACAGCTGGCGGAAGGCCAGACACGGGGTGAGGGGCCTGACAAATATCAGAGACGGGGAAGCCCAACGAATGCTGGGAGGGCCATCCCAGGGCTCCAAGCTCGGAATAGGGGAGGTTTTGCAAGCCAGTTCTTGCTACACACATCCCCGCGAGGAAGGTGCTGGCTACCCACGCTGTGGAAGGGAAAACTTGGCTCAGAGAGATGCAGTGACTTGCCCAAGGCCACACAGCCAGTGAGTGACCCAACTAGGTAAGAAACCAGAAACCAGTGACCACGACCAGTGCTCACTGCCCCAGGCCACAGCTGTGCCTCCGGGAATGCCCTCACCGCCTGCCCCTGAGGGTTAGGGAATCACTGTCACTTTTCCCGCTGTGGTCCCCCACACAGGCCCTGACCTGGTCCACTGAGACCTCCGGCTCCTCTGACTTCTCCTCCTACTCCTCCCCTCGCACACCAGCCAAGCCGTTTCCCGGGAAAGGCTCACACTGCCCACCTCCCTGTGCTGGTCCACACAAAGCCCCTGCCCAGAATGTCCTTCCCACCTTAGCTGTCCATATGTTCTCACCAACCTGGTCTCTGGCCCCCACACCCTCCAGGCTGCCCAGCCCTCCAAGCCTTTGATCCTGTCTGTATCTCCCTCTGGAATACGCTTCCAGCCCCATTTCACTCCCAACTTCTATTCATGCTTCAAAACCCTGCCCAGACAAGTCCTCCTCTCTGGCGGAGCTTCGTCGTCCTCTACCTGTAAAGAGCCCATGGTTCCCTCTCTCAGGTGACTACTTTGCCTGGACCACGAGCAGGCACTTGGTGAGTCTCCACCCCTTCAAGGGCTGTGGGTTCTGTGTGGGCCAGGCCGATGCCTGCTTATTCTCCACAGTCTCAGGCCTGTCACCCAGTGAATGCAGGTGGAAGGGAATTAAACCACCTCCTCCAGGAAGTCCTCAGAGAACGCTACTCAATGTTAGGCTGCAGAAGCGCTAACACTTCAGAGTAACACAAAAGACACCTCTCCTGAGAGGAGTCCCCCACACCCCCAAAAAGTGGGCAGCCCAGCCTTTTTAATACACTTTGCCTGTCCAGCCCTGGACAGAATTCCTGGTTACCTCTCAGTTCCTCAAACGGCCCTGTTCCCGCCTGTCTGGAAAGTGCCTGCAAACAGTGGCCCCTGACTTCCCACTCTCCTTCCTCTCTCCCTTCTCTTCCTCCCCACTGCCAGGCTGGCTGACTTTTACTCATCCCTCCAGCCCCTGCTCAATGTCACCTCCTCCAAGAAGCCTTTCCTGACTTCCAGCCATGTCGGGGCTACCACCCCACCTAAACCAGCACTCCTTGGGGAACTCAGCATCCCAGGTGGCAGGCACTAAGCCTCATTTGTTTGCCGCTGCACCCTGGGGCCAGCCCGCGGTCTGGTGCACAGCAGGTGCTGGCGTGCACCTACTCTGGGTACCACCTACACTGCTGTGGGATTTCAGGAAGAAGGCGCTGTCCAGGGAGACACAGTGAGGCATGATGGGAAAAGCCACACCTGTGTTGTTTTTCCAGTTTTGACCAGAAACACACTTTTGGGAAATGCTTGGACACTCTCTCCTCTAATGTCCAGCCACAGTGCTAGTGCCAAGAAGCCCCACAAGATTCACCTGTCTCCTCTGGGTCATCCCTGGAATCTCAGGGCCACGGTGATGGGGAAAGAGCTGGGACCTTGAGAAGCAACAGCCACCTTCTCTGAGGCCAGGCAGGGGGCTGAGGGTCTTTGTATGTTAGGTCTTGAAGTCTCATGTGATCCAAGACAAAAGGATCTTAAGTTACCCCCATTAGACAGATGAGGAAACTGAGGCCTGAAGAGGTCAAGGACCTTTCTTGTTGGGCGGGAACACAGAGTTCCTTGGGAAGCCAGGACATCCTGGCTGTGTGACCCTGGGTGAGTGACCTAACTTCTCTGAGCCTCAATCTCTTTAATGTGGAGGGGAAAATACCTATTTCTTGGAGCCATTAGGAGAATCCAAAAAAACAGAGGATGTTCAAGCCACCCCACTGGGAGATGCTGAGAAGCTAAGCAGTCTCATTTTCCATGTCCCCAAATGCCCCTGCCACAGGGCCCCTCCCCAGAGGACCAGAGGGACAGGTGCAGGAATGTGTCAATGGTGTGACACCCCTGAGGGTCCCCCTTACTTAAGAGACCCACAGGCAGCCAGGACCAGAGAGGAACCTTATGCACAGACCACCATGGGCAACCCTCACCCCATTTTCCGGATGAAGAAATTGAGGCTTACAGAGAGGAAGGGACTTGCCCAAGATCTCCCAGCCAGTGGGTGGCAGAGCAAGGCTAGATCCTGTTACCCAATTCAGAAAGGCCCACATGGTAAGCATCGCTGCTATTTCATGGCTGGAAATGGAGTTGGAGAGAGCAGAGACCATGTTTTCATCTAGTGCCTGTAGAACTCTGAGGCCTGGCCCTAGAATGGAGTGGAGGAGGGGAATGGGGCAGGTGGAAGGGGCCCCAGCACCCAGGTATCACCTGACCACCACCGAAGCCCACCCCCACGGAGGAAGGATGGTGCATTCAAGGAACCCAGAGACCACAGGGCACGCATGGCTAGTGACTTGGGGGTGAGAAAGGATTGATGTCATAGGGGCACGGACCAGTCAGGTCTTGGTTCTCAGGGCAATGGGGAACCAGCAAGGGGCCAAGCCAGGCAGAGGTGATGAGATCAGATTTGCATTTATAAAAGGTCCCAGCTGGGCACGGTGGCTCACGCCTGTAATCCCAGCACTTTGGGAGGCTGAGGCAGGTGGATCACCAGGTCAAGAGATCGAGACCATCCTGGCCAACATGGTGAAACCCTGTCTCTACCAAAAATACAAAACTTAGCTGGGTGTGGTGGTGCATGCCTGTAGTCCCAGCTACTTGGGAGGCTGAGGCAGCAGAATCGCTTGAACCCGGGAGGCAGAGGTTGCAGTGAGCCGAGATCGCACCACTGCACTCCAGCCTGGTGACACAGCGAGACTCCGTCAGGAAGGAAGGAAGGAAGGGAGGAAGGGAGGGAGGAAGGGAGGGAGGGAAGGAGGGAGGGAGGGAGGGACCCTCTTGGAGAAGTCTTAGGGAGGGGCCAGAGGGGAACAGAGGGGGAAACTGGCACATCAGCCAGGAGGGGAGGCCCTTACCGTGCTATTGGTTGAAAGATGAAGGCAGCTGGAGGTGTCACGGGGCAGGGAGAGGTGGAGCAGGAGGGAACAGAATACCCAACAGAAGGGGTGCCTGAGCTAAGGCAGAGGCTTGAGCCACTGGACATCATGAGGCACCCACACACACAGCGGCAGGAGCAGGGATGGGGCTGCCGAGAGGCCAGGCAGAACCTGGTGGGGCCTGGCGCACACAGCTAGGGAGGCTGATGTCATCCTGTCCACTGGAATCCCAGGCTGGATTCGCCAGTTTACCGAAGAGAGGATTTCAAATGAAAGTGAAAATTAAGTGCCAAATGATTCAACCTCAATTAGCAGCACACATTCTTCCATGCAGAGCTGAGCCCTGCCTTCCTCCCCGGGGTCGGGGAGGCAGTCATGACGGAGCAACAGGAATGGGCTCAGCTCTGTTCTAGAAACTGGCGCGATGGCAGGGAGTGAGGCAGATAAGGGCCCCGTCCTCAGGGAGCTTCCATCCAAGAGGAGGAGTGGCAGCAAAGGAGCAGCAAGATGAAGTCGGGCTGTCGGGGGGCCTATGAAGACAGCCAAGCAGGGTGGTGGGATGGAGAGGGCAGGTTGGAGACGGGGGGCTGCTGTAGACAGGGGGTCAAGGAGGCGATGTTTAAGCAGGGAACTGAATGACAGGAAGCAGGGAGGGTTCTGGGTGTCATAAAGGGGAGTGAAGAGGTTCGGGGGAGGCAGAGATCATCAAGGCAGTCTGTGTACTTGGAGTGAAGTGGGTAAGGGGTGTGGTAAATGAGGCTGGGGAGACGGGGGCTGTTGTTCACGGTTTGCGCATTAAGATGAGTTTTAAGTGTGAAGGGAGCCACAGGAGAGATTTAGGCCAGGTTAACTTTCAGTTGTTTTTTGGGAGGCTCTTTTTATTTTATTTTATTTTTTGAGACAGGGTCTCACTTTGTTGCCCAGGCTGGAGTGCAGTAGCACAATCACAGCTCAATGCAGCCGCACCCTCCTAGGCTCAAGCGATCCTCCCACCTCAGTCTCCCGAGTCGCTGGGACTACAGGCATGCACCACCATGCCCGGCTAATTTTTGTATTTTTTGTAGAGATGGGGTTTCTGCTCCATGTTGCCCAGGCTGGTCTCGAACTCATGGGCTCAAGCGATCTGCCTGCCTCAGCCTCCCAAAGTGCTGGGATTACAGGCATGAGCCACGGCGCCCAGCCTAACTTTCAGTTTTAAAAGCTCACCAGGGCTTCCGTCGAGCTTGGTTCTAACGAGGTGAGGTGTAAGGGGGCGCCCCTCTATGCCACAGGCACACGAGGGCACTGTCTTCCTGCCATGTTTCTGTATCCCCAACACCTAGCACGGGGCCATCCACAGAGCAGACTCAGGCTCCCCATCTGCGAAACGGGGGATTTGATGCAAAGAACTCACAGGGCCCTGCCGGCTCCAATATAGGGTCTATACAACAGAGCAGGCGGCAAGAGCCAATCACGGTGCAGCCCCACGAGTCCTGGCAACTGATTGGCTGCTCAGGAAGGTGTCAGTTCCGAAGGTTCAGGTCCATCCCTTTGCTGTTAACCCCTCATGGCTGGCAGCATGGGGAGCCAGCTCTCAGGCTTATCTGATCTTGTATCTGCAGCAGGGGCCTCCCCAACCCCCAGCAAACCTACCATCCTCAGCCCAGAAGCTCTCTCCACCTTAATCTCAGGTGCCAGAGATTTGGGGCTGCCTGTTTTTCCCAACCCACCTTCTCTCCCTCTTCCCCCTCCAATGTCAAGGGCCCAGTGTGACTATTTTACCCTCCCTTCACAGGGGCACAGGCATTGGCAGTAGCAGGATCCCGCTCTGGGGTCTCGTCTGGGGCTGAGAAACTTTGTGCCTGAAGCCATATGAGGGTGTGAGGCAGGATTCACCACAGAACTTGCAAGACCCAGTGCAAAATGGAAGTACAGGGCCCATGCTCAAAAATGATTAAGAATTTCAAGATGTAGACATCAGAGTATTAAACAAGGTGCAGGACCCTTCTGAGCATGGGGCCCTGTGCAATTGGATAGGTGGCCACACGCATAGAGCTGGCCCTACTGGGATACCTTCACCCAATCCTTCGGAGAGACTTGGGAAGGTAGATCTGGTCGGGCCTATTTCTCCAGCTTCTGTGATGTTGTCCAGGACAACAAAGTCCACTAGGGGCCACCAGGGATCAGGGACCTCCAGGCTGCTGAGAGCACCTGGCCATAACCTGGCCTCAGCAGCCTCAGCCATCCATCTCAACGTACAAGGGAGGTGCCTGGGGAAGGAGCTTGGGACTTCCAAGCCTCTACCTCTTATAGAAAAGGAGATTGAGGCTCAGAGAGGGGAAGTGATTGGTCCAAGGTCCTTCAGCAAGTGGGTCCTTCAACTCAGCCAAGATGCACAAAGGCGGGACAAGGTCTCAAGCCAGCATCCAGAGACCCAGGGACAGAGGCAGTGACAACACACTGCTGGTGACCATGGCCTTGAGCAGGAGCTGCCTCACCTAATTCTCCCTCCCTGCTCAGGTTTGCAGCCAGCCCTCCCTTGGCACTTAGAGGCACCTGATAAACGTTTGATAGTTGATGGTGAGTGGGCAGGAATCCTTGTTCCCATTTTGTATATAAGGACAGGACCAGAGAGGGGCACTCACCAGCATCAGGACCGAGCTGGGGCAAAAGCGGCTTTCTAGGCTCTCTGCTAGGGTTTCCCTGCCCTCTCCTGGCTGCCTGCCTTCCTCTAGCCTGGGCCAGGGCATCTAAGGCAGCTGAGCAGAGTGTCCCGGGGAGAGACAGCAGCAGAGAGAGCCCAGCCCACCCAAGTCTGGGGTTGGGGGTTGGGTAGTGAGGAATCCTCTGGGGTGGGTTGGAAGCATCTCGGCTCCAGGCTCTCTTCTCCCTTCTGCCTGCCCTCCTCTTCCTAGGAGAGCCTGATCCCTGCCCCTGAAAGGGGGGTTCATTAAGATCAAGAAATGAGGGCCCCCGCGAGGTTCTGCATGGACCTTGGCTCTGAAGCTGGACAGGACCGTGTAAGCCTGGGAGGCAAGCCTCTTAGTGGCTGTGAGGCTCAGCTTCCCCATGGGTGTCCTGTGCATGCTAATAGCCATCTCCCAGGGGGATCAAATGAGATCACACATGTGTGACATCTTGCGCAGGGGCCAGCATGTGGCAGGCCTTTGCTAGATGGTGGCTATGATCGATCTTCCTGTGGTCCTTCCCACGATGTCCAAGTCAGGTCAACTCAAAACACATGTGTTGTGTGTAAGGTAATGCATGTGTCATACCATGTAGAAGACACTGTGCTGAGATAATGGGAGACCCACAAAGAGCTGGCCATGGCTCCCTGCCCTCCACAGGCTCATAGTCATGGGAGAGATCAGATAAAGTCACTCTGGGGAGTGGAGACCCCTTCGTGGTAGATCAGAAAGGCTTCCCGGAGGAGGGGGCACTGGAGCTGCGCCTGGAGGCTTTAGACAGGTGGATGTGGGGAGAAAAAGCACTATGGGGAGAGAGAACAGCTTGAGCAAAGGCCCTGGGGTAGAAATGTGCAGGGAGCTTGTGGCGAACAGTAGGGTCCGGAGGAGGCAGAGTGTGAAGCAAAGTAATGGGTAATAAGGCCAGGTGGGAGGTTGAGTGAAGGCCATCAGGAGCCTTGAGTGCCATGCTAGGGAGTCGGGGAAATGTCCTAGGAGTGATGGGGACCCCTGAGGGCTGGCCAGGGAGGGGCTGGTGCCTCCCCAGTCATCCTTCCCTCCTGAGTCTGACACCAACACGCTCCCTCCACGTCCGATGACAGCCCTGCCTCCGCATCCTGCAATAGAGCGCAGGGCCTCCCAGGCCTGCAGACAGCTCTGTTCCACCCCTCAGCATGCCTTGTCCCCAGGTGTCCCTGTTCCTTGGAGTCAGGCTCTCTGGATCACCTCCTCCAGCAGCCTGCTTCCGCAGAAGCTCCTCTCCCAGCTCCTGCTCTTGCCTGAGCCAGCCTTCTCCTCCACGTCCCTTTGCTTGGAGGCCCAGCCTAAAGGCCACCCCTCCTCCCTTCTACCCCTTCCTCCATACCCCATCCCGGGTTCTGGGAGCCCCCAGCACCTCTCAGCGCCAGTGCTGCCTTCTTGGCTGGACTGTCAGGCAGCTCCACTGGGCTGGAGGCTGTGGGTGCCCACACAGGGTCTGGCCCACAGGAAGTGCCTGAAAGGGGGGTCGACTTGGTGACGGTCTCTCCCCTCCTCCCACCACCCCACATATCCCCAGGAACTCACACGGTGGGGATGTACTCTCCGGGAAAGGCGTTGGTGGTGTAGCTGATGAGAAGGCAGGTCTTGCCCACGGCCCTGAAAGACAGGAAGTGCAAGAGGGCGGCGGTCATGGGCTCTGCCGGAGACGTGGGGAGGTTTCTGCCTGGTCCTCTGCAAAGACCTCAGCATCCACCCAGCCTAGCCCTCTGGGCCTCCGTCTCCCCATGTGAGATGCCCCCTGTCTGTGTTCTCACACCCGAGAGCCTGCAAGTCATGTGGATGTTTGTTAAAGTGGAGACTTCAGGGTCCAGCCCCAGAGATTCTGATCCACAGGTGTGCGCAGAGCTGGCAATCCGCTTTTCCCACAGGCTTCTCCAGGGGCCAGTGATGTGGGACAGAGGGTGCCCAGCAGACCCAGGCAATGCCGAGGGGCCCCCGACGCCTGACCTGGGCTTCAAATCCCAGCTGTACCACCTACCAGTGGTATGATCTTGGACAAGTCACTTAACCTGCCTCTGCCTCAGTTTCTCCATCTAGAAAATAGAGATGAGCCCATCCTCATAGGAGTGTGCTGAGGAGTAAATCCAACGAGGCCTATCAAAGCACTGAGCACAGGGCCTGATGCATGGCAGCAGCCGATGGCTGCTAGGGAAGACCTGACCCTGCTCTTCCCTCTCACCTCCCCCGTGGAGCAGAGCAGTTACCAGGTCAGGGTTTGAGTCAGAGTGGTCTGGGTTCAAATCCTGTGAGGCTTTGGGCAAATTACTTAGCTTCCCTGAACTTTCATTTTCCCACCTGTAAAATGGACCTATTAGGTTTGGTGAGAGGATAAATAGAGAAGGCTAGATTAACCCCAGAGCTGGTACATAGGAAGGAAGTGATAACGCGCGCCTCCTCCACCCTCAGCATGCGAGGCTGGGAGCGGGTGCAGGTAGCTCAGCCGAAGCCCAGAGGCCAAGGGACAGCTCTGGGCCTTCCCCTGCCCTGCGTGGTTTTGTCACTTCCTGCTCAGAGAAGACAGCTCATCCTCTCCTCCTACCATCGCCCTCCCCTGGGCCTGCCACCGAGGTAATTTTGAATGACTGGAACGTTAACCCTTGACTTCCGCCCGCCCCTCCTCCGATCAGATACAAAGCAGAAGTGAACAGGGCTGGGGCAGGCGAGGGCAGATAAGGAGCCATGCATCAGAATCAGCTGAGGCTGGTGGACAAATGGGCCCGCCCCCACCTAGATGGGTCACAGCCAAAGTCGGGGCCACAGGGCCCAGGCCAGGAGAGCTGAGTCTCTCAAAGCCTTGGGCTGCTCCTCTGTAGAATGGGAAGGCTGGACAGGAGGCCCCCTTCCAGCTAGAACATGCTCCAGGGTGAGCCTGTAGGCTGGACCCTAAGATGTGGCTGCTGGCAGGCATGACAGATTGACAAATTGGACCTGTCCTTTTATTTTGTGTTTTTTTAAGAGACAGCGTCTTGCTCTGTCACCCAGGCTGACTGCAGTGGCACCATTATAGCTCACTGCAGCCTCAAACTCCCGGGCTCAGGCGATTCTCCCACCTCAGCCTCCCCAGTAGCTGGGACTGCAGGCGCATATGCCACCACTCCTGGCTTAAAAAAATTTTTTTATAGACATAGGTTCTCGCTATGATGCTTAGGCTGGTCTCAAGCTCCTGGCCTCAAGCAATCCTCCCATCTTGGCCTCTCAAAATGCTAGGACTACAGGCATGAGCCACTGCACCTGGCCTGGACCTGTCATTTTACAGATGAGGAAACTGAGGCCCCCAGGGGACAAGACAGCCTGAAGTCACTGGGATCTGACAACTGAGAAGGGTCTCAGCCCAGCCTGCCCCTCCCCTGCCGACCCCACAATCACCCTCCCATCCTTTAGCCTCCTCCTTCCCTCTCTGTCTCTCAATGTCCCCTTGCCTCTTCTGCTCCTCACCCACATCCCCCACACATCCTCCCCAACCCGGTAGGCTGAGGGGAGGGGAGAGAAAGTGGAGGGGGTGCTAGAAGGCACATACTACAAGCAAGACAGCCACTCAGCTTATCTCAAGCGACCCCACAGCATCCCCAGGGCATAGGCCTCCTCCCAGATGAATAAGCTGAGGTTCAGAGAGGTGCTGTGACTTGCCCAAGGCCACACAGCGGCACCAAGCCAGTGACGACAGCCCAGGTCAGCCTGGGGACAAAGGCTGAATTTCAGGTTTCCCACTTCCCTCCTGCATCCACAGAGTAAAGACTGAGGCTTGCCTCCGTGGGAGACCTGCCCCCAGCTTTTGGGGTGCAGGTGAGGAGCCCTGGGCACTCTCACCCATAGTCCTGCACCCTCCACCGAGATGGCTTCTGGGGTGGGGTGGGGCTGAAGAGGGTGAAGCTCCCCTCAGCCCACCCCCGGGTGCTCCCTGTGGGCCCTCGGAGAAGGAAGCGTCCCCTCCAAGCTGCCTTCCAGGGACGCCTAGTTCTGCAGGGCCAGGGGCTTCCCCAGGGGCACCAGGGCGGAAGGATCTCAGGGCATCCCAGTTGGGGGCTGTGAGGAAGTCCAGCCAGGTACCTACCCATCTCCCACCACCACACACTTGATGGCCTGCATCGTGTCCGGAGCCTGGAGAGTGTCGGTGGTGACAGCTCAGGGCCAGGCGCGTTTCTGCGGGCGCAAGGGGTGTGGAGGCTGGTGAGGCGCCTGCTGAGGAGCAGCGGTGGTGGGGCAGGAGGAAACGGAAGGGGAACTTACTCAAGCTGCTCTCCCCACGGTCGTTTGCAGGGGGCGGAGCATGCGGTCTGGCAGAGCAGCTGGTGGGAGGGGCGCTCAGGTGCTGGGCTGAGCCCTGGCCATCCCCACAGGCCCCCTGCGTGGAGGCTCCAGCAGGAGACCTGGGGGCCCTCTGTGCTGGGAGGCTCACTTCCTGTCCACGGGGCGGGCCCAGAGGCTGTTCTCCAAGAACTTGAGGGTTCCAAGAATTCAGTGCACTTCAATTCTAAGCAGAGCATTTAATGAGTGCCTGCTGTGTGCCAGGCACAGTACCAGGTGCTGGTGATCCCAGGATGCAAGAGACAGCTGGTCCCTGGAGTTTATACCCTTTGCAGAGAGGGAGGCATGACTTCATCATGGGAGATCATAACAGAGACAGGAAGTGATTGAGGCAACGGGGGAATCTACAGAGAGGACCTCAGGGTTACCGAGATGGAGAGCTGGGGGCCTGCAAGCTAGCATTGGAGCTGGCTCTTGAAACGTGCGCCCTAAAGAGGGAACTCCAGGTGGGGGGAGATTGCTTGAGCCAGGACCCAGAGGCTCCCCCAGGCAAGGGCCTGTGTGGGAGTCCCTGGGTGGGAGGATGTGGGGCGATGAGGCAGGAAGGGAAGGTGGGGTCCGCTGATGGAGAAGGGCACATTGAGGGGAAGTGGCGGGCAGTGCCCCACAGGAGCCAAGCCTATTCTGAGGCCGCCCTGGGGGACCAGGCACCCTGGAGCTAGAACTGTGGCCCATTTCCCTGATGCGAAAACTGAGGGTCTGAGAAGTCATTTGACCACCTAGCCTGAAACCAGCCCTAGGCTCAGGTGACTCCAAGCTCTTCTCCAAGCTGCAGCTATTGGCTCCGGCTGCTGTTTGAAG
Organism: Homo sapiens; assembly: GCF_000001405.40. Classification (NCBI taxonomy): domain Eukaryota; kingdom Metazoa; phylum Chordata; class Mammalia; order Primates; family Hominidae; genus Homo; species Homo sapiens. The sequence continues at coordinate 37,245,169 of NC_000022.11, forward strand.
GGACAAAACCTGAGTTCTGCAGCTTGCAGGGCGCTCCCTTCGCCACGAGGGCTCTCCACGTGGACTCGGGTGAATATTCGACCACCCCAGTTGGCACCAAGTTCACTGTTCATTGCTATCACTCCCCACCCACACACCTTTCCAGCTCCGGGGGGAAGGGACGGAGGGGCGGGGAGAGGAAGAGCCACTGGTCACCCACCCTGGACTCGTCACTCGGGACAAGCCAGGAACTCCAAAGGAGGGTGCAGAGGGCCAGGGCCTGCTGGCTGGCAGAGCGCAGGATTCCCACCAGGCACCCGGAGGCTGAACCTTTTCAGAGCAATTCACACAAGTTACTGGGTTCACAACATTGACTTTTACAGAAAGGGAAATGCAACTTCCTCAAGCGCTGGGCAAGTCAACTGTTAAAGCTACCAGCAAACCGGTGTCTTTCCTCTGCACTTTGCATACGCTGTGCTGAGACTGTGGGTCAGAGAGGCCAGGTGTGCCCCGTGACCACCCTGGGGCTTCCTCCCTCACAGGCCACCTGAGGACTTTGTTCTGGATACTTCTCTATGCCCCTTTCTTTTTCCATCCACTGCTAGTCCACGGGGCAACCTCTGTGTTAATTTAAATAATAATAATAATGTATTAAATGCAGTGCGGTACCCCAGATTAGAACCTGGAACAGAAAAAGAACATTTGTGGAGCTTCAGTAAGACAGAAAGAGTAAGTTCTGGTGTCCTGTTACACAGTAGGGTGACTACAGCAAATCTCAATCTCGTGCATATTTCAAGACAGCTGGAAGGGAAGGTTTCAAATGTCGCAACAAAGAAATGATAAATATTAAAAGTGATGGATGTGGGAATTACCTGGATTTGATTGATCATTATACGGTGTATACATGCATTGGAACATCACATTGTACCCCATAAATATGTACGATTATTATGTGTCAATTACAAATTAAAAATTTTTAATACATTTTTTAAAAGAATTCATTTCTAGTTCTTGAAGGGGGAAAAAGAAACAAGTGTTTCATCTATAAATGCAGCTTCTTGAAGCAATTTAAACGATTAAATTAGCTTTAAAAAAAAAAGAACATCAGGCCGGGTGTGGTGGCTCACGCCTGTAATACCAGCACTTTGGGAGGCCGAGGCTGGTGGATCGCCTGAGGTCAGGAGTTTGAGACCAGCCTGGCCAATATGGTGAAACCCCGTCACTACTAGAAATACAAAAAATTAACGAGGCGTGGTGGCGGGCACCTGTAATCCCAGCTACTCAAGATGCTGAGGCAGAGAATTGCTTGAACCCGGGAGGCAGAGGTTGCAGTGAGCCGAGATCGCACCATTGCACTCCAGCCTGGGCAACAAGAGTGAAACTCCGTCTCAAAAAAATAAAATAAAATAAAATAAAATAAAAATAAGAACATCAGTGGAAAAAGTAGTAAAATCCAAATCAAGTCTGAAATTTTTGATAGTATTGTTAAGAATAGTAATTTCTTAGTTTTGACAAATATACCGTGGTTACACAAATGATGTTAGCATAGAGAGAAACTGGGTGAAAATGTATGTGAACACTCCTGCTATCTTTGCACCTTTCCTGTACATCTAAAATTCTTCCAGAATAAAACATTTTTTTGTTTAAAAAAGGGAAGAGAAAAGAATAATGCGCTTCTTTAGGAATGCACAGCCAATGGGTGCAGCCACCTGACTTGGAAAGCAGTGTAGATACTGAGTTTTATCCTTCGTTCACCTACTAGAGCAGAGATTGTTGTTTTTTGTTTTGTTTTGTTTGTTTGTTTGTTTGTTTGTTTTGAGACAGAGTCTCGCTCTGTCGCCGGTCTGGAGTGCAGTGGCGTGATCTCGGCTCACTGCAACCTCCGCCTCCCGAGTTCAAGCAATTCTCCTGCCTCAACCTCCCGAGTAGCTGGGACTACAGGCGCGTGCCACCGCACCCAGCTAATTTTTTTGTATTTTTAGTAGAGACAGAGTTTCACCATGTTGGCCAGAATGGTCTTGATCTCCTGACCTCGTGATCCACCCGCCTTGGCCTCCCAAAGTGCTGGGATTACAGGCATGAGCCACCGCGCCCGGCCTTTTTTTTTTTTTTTTTTTTTTTTTTGCAGTACACAACCCACTCAACTGTACATGGCCATGACGGTCCTAAAATTGCAACTGCCCTCCCTCCCAAGAAAGCCACTTCTCCAGGGCAGCCCAAGCAAAAATTCTCCTTAGCTTAAGCCATTGATTCTCTCCTTCATTCTGCATGCATCAATGATACACCACCTGAATACCCAGCTCTGGGCTTGGTACTGTAGTGAATACAAAACATGGAAGAACAGAAAGCTATCCCTGAAGCACTCTAACCCACACCGAGAATGACACAGGAGCCCTGGAACCACTCTCTGGGAATGTCCCCCATCTGCAGGTGGTCCTGGGATTGTGTGGACAGGCCAGGGTTGGCAGGATGGCCAGATGGAGGAGTGAAGCCACTTGGACGACAGCAGTCAGGCCCAAGTCTACGTGACCAAGTCCATGATGCAGCGGCACTGACCTCTGCTCCAGCCCTCCTCGCCTTTTAGTTCTTTTTTTAAAAGTATCCATATGCACTTTCGGAGCCGAGGCGGGCAGATCACGCGGTCAAGAGATGGAGACCGTTCTGGTCAACGTGGTGAAACCCTGTCTCTACTAAAAATACAAAAATTAGCTGGGCATGGTGGCGTACACCTATAGTCCCAGCTACTCAGGAGGCTGAGGCAGGAGAATGGCTTGAACCCGGGAGGCAGAGGTTGCAGTGAGCTGAGATCGCACCACTGCACTCCAGCCTGGCGACCGAGCGAGACTCCGTCTCAAAAAAAAAAAAGTATCTATGTGGAAGTATAATTTGAATACAATAAGTGATCCATTTAAAGCATATAATTCCATTCATTTTGACAGATATATGCACCCATGGAACCTCCCAAGATACAGAACATCACAGAACACTTCCATCACTTTGAAAAGCTTCCTTGCACCCCCCTGCAGCCCACCTCTCCCTGTTTCTCCCTCCCCACGCCCCCAGCCACCGCCCAGCTCACACACACAAGCTCCGATCTGCTTTTTGCCTCTGTAGATTACTTTGCGTTTTCTAGGATTTCACATAAACGGCATCACACGGTGTGGCATCTCATCCAAGGCCCTTTCACACAGCATATTTTCGAGATTCATCTTGTTGTTACATGTGTCATGGTGTGTCTGTCCCTTTTATTAGTGAGTAGTGTCCCACCGCAGGGATGTGTCACATTTGGTTATTCATTTAGTCCCATCCTCTTTTGACTACACTTTGCAAACTCACTGAATCACAGAACCACGAGGCCTCTGGGCATGCTTAGAAGGGGCCTAAGGCCATCTGTATTCAACCCACCCTTGTGCCATTGATAGACAATGCTTGGCTCACTGCCCATGATGCAGCTGCCCAGTCCCTGCTTACATACCTTCAATGACAGGGAGCTCATTCCCTTAAGGGGCAGTCTCTTTCACTCCTGGCTAGCCTGGCCTGTTAGAAAACCCTTCCTCATTTTCAGCCCAAATCCTTCCCTTGGATTGTCCTCATAGAGGTGCTACCTCTTGTTCTGGGGCCACTCAGGGTCAGTCAGCTCCCTCCTCCTCACCACAGGCCTTCGAATTTGGGAGGCACAGTCCCACCCAGCAGTGTGCTGGGAAATGTTCAACTTAGAGTTCCAGTTTAGTTATTTTTCTGGTAAATATTCCAGTATATGAATGTATTGAAATGTTATTTATCCAATTCATGCAGATAATGACATTAAATACATATCACACAAAAACTAAAAACAGTCAATATATCGCCACACCCTAAATTCTGTCCAAAGTGTGTAAAGACCTACTCATATTTATTTCGTTTTTCCTTTTTTGAGACAGGGTCTCACTCTGTTGCCCAGGCTGGAGTGCAATCATGGCTCACTGCAGCCTACATCTCCCGGGCCAGGATTTGTAAGTGGCTTGCAATGTTTGCACTACAAACGATTCTGCTGTGAACATCCATGTGCTCCTGGGCTGGTGTGTGAGGTTTAGCATACACACACATATCTTGCACTTCAACGGACAGTGCTACGCCCATCTCCAGGGGCCTCCTCGTCTACTCCCAGCCCATGCTTGGCCTGTAAGACTTCATACTTTTGCCAGCTAGATGGGTGTGAATTGGCATCTCACTGAGGTTTTAATTTATATTAACTGATTCCCAGTGGTATTAAGCATCATTGTAAGTGATTACTGGACCTTGTGTTTCCTGTTCCATAAATTGCTTTTTCTTCACTTTTCTCCATTTCTCTATTGGAGCATTTATCTATTTTATTTTATTTATTTTATTTTATTATTTTATTTTTTGAGATGGAGTTTCACTCTTGTTGCCCAGGCTGGAGTGCAATGTCGTGATCTCGGCTCACTGCAACCTCCGCCTCCCAGGTTCAAGCGATTCTTCTGCCTCAGCCTCTTGAGTAGCGATGATTAAAGATACACGCCACCATGCCCGGCTAATTTTTGTATTTTTAGTAGAGATGGGGTTTCACCATGTTGGCCAGGCTGGTCTCAAACTCCTGACCTCAGGTGATCCACCCACTTCTGCCTCCCAGGTAGTGCTGGGATTACAGGCGTGAGCCACTGTGCCAGGCCCAGTATTTATCCTTCTCTTACATTTATTTGGAGAAGCTCTTTGCATATTCTGATTTTCATTTGAATTGCTAGAGGCATTTCATACTTTCTTCCAGTCCGTGGGATGTCTTTTAATATGTTGTGACATTTAATAGACACAATTTTTATCTGCATGTAGTCAAATTTCCACTTTCTCTCCTAATTGAGGTAGGAGGCAGGGTTTGACTCAAGACCAGACTGAGGACTAGCAGAAATGGGGACGAGGCGAAAGCACCTCTTCATGAGACATGCCCAGCAGCGCCATGTCAGTTTACCATTGCCATGGCAACACCCGGACGTTACCACCCCTTTCCATAGCAACAGCCCGGAAACTACCACCCTTTTTCTAGAAAGTTCTAAATACCCCACCCCTTAATTTGCATGTGACTAAAAGTGGGTATAAATATGACGGTGGAACTGCCCCTGAGCTGCTGCTCTCAGTACACTGCCCGTCAGGTAGCCCTACTCTGCAGGGGCACTCGCGCAGCTGTAACACTGCCACCTCCATAAAGCTGTTTTCTTCCACCGTCAGCTCAGCACGGAATTCCTTCCTGAGAGAACCCAAGAACCTTCCAAAGCTAAGCCCCAATTTGGAGGCTCACCTGCCCTGCATCATAATGACTTGTGTTTTTTGGAGTGAATCTTACTTAAAAATTCCTTTCCTTCCCCCAATTTCATGAAGACGAATATCCTCATTTTCTTTTAAAGTTTTGCTTTTCATAAACAGGTCTTGTCAGGTGCAGTGGCTCATGCCTGCAATCCCAGCACTTTGGGAGATGAAGGCACATAGATCACTTGAGCCCAGGAGTTTGAAACCATCTTGGGTAATATGGTGAAACCCCATCTCTACAAAAAATACAAAAATTAGCCAGATGTGTTGGTGCATGCCTGTAGTCCTAGCTACTCAGGAGGCTAAGGTGGGCAGGTCGCTTGAGCCTGGGAGGTCGAGGCTGCAGTGAGCCATGATCATACCACTGTACTCCAGCCTGGGCAACAGAGTGAGACCCTGTCTCAAGAAAGAAAAAAGAAAATAAATATGAGTAGGTCTTTACACACTTCAGACGGAATTTAGGGTGTGGTGAGATTATTGACTGTTTTTAGTTTTTGTGTGATATGTATTTTTTTATTATTGTATTTTATTTTATTTTTGGAGACTGAGTCTCACTCTGTCACCCAGGCTGGAGTGCAGTGGCATGATCCCAGCTCACTGCAACCTCTGCCTACGGGGCTCAAGCGGTTCTCCTGCCTCAGCCTCCCAAGTAGCTGGGATTACAGGCACGCACCACCACACCCAGCTAATTTTGTATATTTAGTAGAGATGGGGCTTCACCATGTTAGCCAGGCTGATCTCGAACTCCCAACCTCTGGTGATCTGCCCGCCTCGGCCTCCCAGAGTGCTGGGATTACAGGCGTGAGCCACCGCACCTGGCCTGTGTGATATGTATTTAACATCATTATCTCCATGACTGATTGTTCCAGAACCATTTATTGAGTAGCTCTGCCTGCTTTTTGCCCAGTAAGCTGTGGTCAAGCCATCTCGCATCTCACAGTTCCACTGCTATAAAGAAATATCTGGGAATGGGTAATTTACTAAGAAAAAGAGGTTGAACTGGCTCACAGTATCACAGGCCGCACAGGAAGCATGGTGGCATCTGCTTCTGGGGGGGCCTCGTGGTGGAAGGCAAAGTGGAAACAGACATCTTCCATGGCAAGAACAGGACCAAGGGGGTGAGAGGTGCCACACACTTTCAAACAACCAGATCTCACAAAAACTCACTCACTATACAGTACCCAAGAAGGATGGTGCTAAACCATTCATGCAAACTCCGCCCCCATGATCCAATCACCTCCCACCAGGCCCTACTTCCACTGTTGGGGATTACAATTTGACATGAGATTTAGATGGGGACACAGATCCAAATCATATCACATGTCAAGAGTCTATAAGTGCATGAGTCTTTTCCTAGCCTCTCCATCTATTGGACTCTTGGTCCACCCTCAAGCCGGTAAAACACTGCCTCAATTACTGCAGTTCTTTTTTTTTTTTTTTTTTGAGACGGAGTTTCACTCCTGTTGCCCAGACTGGAGTGCGACGGCACCATCTCGGCTCACTGCATCCTCCACCTCCCAGGTTCAAGTGATTCTCCTGCCTCAGCATCCAAATAGCTGAGATTACAGGCGCCTGCCACCACATGTAGCTAATTTTGTATTTTTAGTAGAGACAGGGTTTCACATGTTGGCCAAGCTGGTCTTGAACTCCTGACCTCAGGTGATCTGCCCGCCTTGACCTCCCAAAGTGCTGGTATGACTTACAGGCGTGAGCCACTGCACCCAGCCAACTACTGAAGTTCTATATCAGATCTTTATACCCAGCAGAGCAAATCATCCACTCTTGAATGTTTTCAAAATTGTTATCGTTACCACTGACACTTTGCTCTTTCATATAAAGTTCATAATAAGCTTGTCAAGTTCCAAGAAAAACTGTGTGAGGATTCTGATTAGAATTGTATTCAATTTCTAGAGGAACTTGGGGAGAAGTGACATCTTTATATATTGAGTCTTCCTGTCCATTAACATGGTATATTGCTTCTTTATATCTTTCAATTAAGTTTTATAATTTCCCCCCGGAAAGGTCATGCACATTTTTTGAAAGATTCATTCCTTGATACCTTATTACTTTCAGTGCCATTATAACTAATATTTTTTAAATTGAATTTTCTATTTGTTGCCCATACGTAGGGAAAATGTCACATTTTGTATATTGAACTTATATAGAAACCTGGATGGAAATTCTCATTCTAATTTATGTAAAGATTTTGCTCCTAACAAGTCTACAGCTGTCTTTATAGACAGTCTTATCATTTATGAAAAGTGACAGTTTTATTTCTTCCTTCCCAATTTTTATAACGTTAATTCCTTGGCTTGTCTAGATCTTTTATTACAGGGCTGAAGGGAATCAGTGCTGGCAGGCAACCTTGTCTTATTTCTGATTTTAAAGAGACTGTTTCTAATGTTTCACCATTGAACCTGATGTCTACTGCAGGCTTTTGGTGGATATTATTGTCACTGAAAGAAGTTTCCCTACTATTCTTAGAAACGGCAGTTTTGTTTTATCATTATTAAGCGTTTAATTTGATTGAATGTCTTTTTCTGTACCCATGGAAATGTTGTGAATTATATTAATACATTTTCTGATGTCCAATTCTCCTTGCATTCCCAGATAAGTCTAATTTAGTTAATATGGGGACTATTGCTGAGTATCCCTAAGCAACCGTTCTCTGCTTCTTTTTAATAACAGAGATCCCAGCATTGGGGCTAGCCACACATTCACCCAGCTAAAGACATTTCTCAGTCTCCCTTGCAGCAGAGTGGGCCCTATGATCATGTCTGGGGGAAAAAGGTGCAAATGGAAGTGATGTCAGCAACTTCTGCATCATCTCCTTGGAAGCTAAACCATTTATCCTGTACAGCATTTTCCCCTCTCCCCACGGAGTAGGAAATAAAAACGCCAGAACAATCCTGGAACCATGTGGGGGCAACATAGAGCCAGACCACTCAGCTCGAGACCTGAGAGAGAAATACACTTTTGCTTCTTTAAGCCACTGCGTTTTCAGATCTTTTTGTTACAGCAGCTTCAGTCACACCCTCACTCAGTCAGTCATGATGCATCGCCTTTTGTGTATTGCTGGCTTGAAATTGCCAATATTTACAGGTAGGGTGGGGAGATCGGCCGGTCATTTTCCTTATATTGTCTTTGTCTTTTTTTGTTGTTGTTGTTATCAAGGTTATACTAGTTTCATTATGAGAGTTGGTAATATTATGTTTTGTTTTTTTTTTTGAGATGGAGTCTTGCTTTGTCACCCAGGTGGAGTGCAGTGGCACGATCTCGGCTCACTGCAACCTCCACCTCCCAGGTTCACACCATTCTCCATTCTCCTGCCCCAGTCTCCCGAGTTGCTGGGATTACAGGCGCCCACCACCACGCCTGGCTAATTTTTTGTATTTTTAGTAGAGACAGGGTTTCACCGTGTTAGCCAGGATGGTCTCGATCTCCTGACCTCGTGATCTGCCCGCCTCGGCCTCCCAAAGTGCTGGGATTACAGGCGTGAGCCACCGCGCCCAGCCAGTTTGGATAATATTACATTATCTCTCCCTTAAATATTTTATAAAATTTATAAAGCCATCTGTATCTGGACCTGGTTTCAGAATTATGGGGGAGAGGGGGAAGAGGGGTAGATTTTAAACTACTAATTCAATTTCTTTAAGGGGTATAGGACTATTTGGAATTCCTTTTTTTTTTTTTTTTTTTTGAGACAGAGTCTTACTCTGTCACCTAGGCTGGAGTGCAGTGGTGTGATCTCAGCTCTCTGCCACCTCCACCTCCTGGGTTCCAGTGATTCTCATGCCTCAGCCTCGCAAGTAGCTGGGACTACAGGCAGGCACCACTAGGCCCGGCTAATTTTTTATTTTTAGTAGAGATGAGGTTTCACCATATTGGTCAAGATGGTCTCCTGAGCTCAAGCAATCTGCCCACCTTGACCTCCCAAAGTGCTGGGATTATAGGCATGAACCACCGCGCCCGGCCACTATTACTTCTTGAGTCATGCTTTAGATATTTTTCTGGAAAGTTGCCCATTTTGCTTGGGTTTTCAAATTCATTAGTGTAAAGCTATTCATAGTATTATTTTATATCTTTTGAATCTCTCCTCTCTAATTTCTGTTATCTCCCTTTTTTTATCCTATATTGATTATTTATGCCTTCAAACTTTGTTCTTAATCAATTGCTCCCCAGTTTCATTAATTTTACTCACCTTTTCAAAGAGCCAAATTTTGGTCTTGTTAATCCTTTCTACTATACATTTGTTTCCCATTTAATTAATTTCTATTCTTATCTTTATTGTTTCTTTTCTTTCTTTTGCTTTGTTCTGATGTTCTTACTTTACTTCTTAGTTTTGAATGCTTAGTTCATGAATTTTTAGTCTTATTTTGTTCCTAATACAAGTTCTTAAGGCAATACTACTTTAGCATTGCTTTTAATTGTGGTAAAATAGACATAACATAAAATTTACCACAACCCACAGTTTTAATATGTAATATTTTATTATGTTTTAGTTCTAAACATTTTTCAACTTTCATTACGATTTCCGTTCTGCTCAATGAGTCATTTGAAAGTGCATTGTTAATTTCCAAGAGTTGGGGAAAGAGGCTGTTATCTTGTTCTCTTACCTCGTGATACTGCAGACAAAGAATACAGACGGTGTCACACTGACTCCTTTTAATGTGTTGAGACTTGCTCTATGACCTACTGTGAGTGTTATTTTCATAAATGTGTATATATTCAGTGTTCCCTATGTGTCTAATAAATCAAAGGTGTTCATTGCATTGTTTAGATCTTTCGTATCATTACAAATAAATTTATATTTACCTTGCTTATATTTATCAGCTCTTGAGAAAAGTATGTTAAATCTCCCACTATGGTGGTGAATTTGTCAATTCTACTTGTAATTCTGTCACTTTTTATTTTTGTTTTTAAACCCTTAGGTTATGTCATCAAATGCATGCAACTTTAGAATTATCAGATCATGCTAAAATTTTTAATCTTATTGAAATAGCAGCCAACATTTTAAAAATCTTTACTATATTCCAAGATCTGACACAGACCTAGCACTCAGTAAAATGTGGTAGAAATAAGAAAAAGAAAGAAAGAGAGAGAGAGAATGAATGAAAAGAGAGAAGAAAGAAAAGAGGAAGAAGAAAGAAAGAAAGAAAGGGAGGGAGGGAAGGAAAGAAAGAAAGAAAAAGAGACAGAAAGAAAGAAGGAAGAAAGGAGGGAAGGAAGGATGAGAGAGAGAGAAAGAAAAAGAGAGAAAGAAAGAGAGAGAGAAAGAAAAAGAGAAAGAGAGAAGGAAGAAAGGAGGGAAGGAAGGATGAGAGAGAGAGAAAGAAAAGGGAGGGAGGGAAGGAAGGAAGGGAGGAAAGTAGAGTGAGAGAGAAAGAGAAAGAAAGAGAGAGAGAGAAAGACAGAAAGAAAAAAGAAAGAAAGAAAAGAGAGGAAGGGAGGGAAGGAAGAAAGGAGGGAGGGAGGGAGACAGAGAGAGAGAAAGAAAGAGAGAGAGAGAAAGAGAGAGAGAGAGAAAGAAAGAAAACATTGAGGGGATGCCTAGGGTGTCCCTGGCTGGCACCCTGGAGTCAGAGCTGGGGAACATTTGCGTCCAGGTCCACTCTGCCTTGGGGGTCATCCTGTGTTCAGTGTCACAAGCAAGAGAGGTGACAGGGAGGGCTGGCAGCTCTGGGCAGTCCCCAGGTGCTGGAGTTGAGTCCCCAGCCTGACAGGGTTTTCCCAGAGTGGCTCTGAGGTCAAATTCCGAGGAGCTGATGGAACTCCCACTGACTGCCCCCCACCCGATCCCCAAACCCAGCTCCCTGGGCTGACCGCCCTGGGCCACTCTTCAGTTCCAGTCACCTCCCTACCTCTAGGAGAGGATTTTCTCTTCGAAGATCCCCCATGAAGAATGCGGGTCCCTCTCTCCATCAGGGACTTTCCTGATGAGAAAACCAGCATTCTGCCCCCAGAGCCAGGCTCTGTGCCCCAGACACACCCAGATACCAAACAGAACCAAGCTCCCACTGCCCCACACCTCAGGTCCCAGGAGGCCCTCCCAGCGGGCCCCACAGGCCACTCTCTAACTGACGGGCTGATGAGAGCTGCCCCTCCCATCCTTGAGCAGGTACACACCCCCCACCCCTGCTTCCTACACCTGCGCCTCAGGCCTCGGTCTCAGTCCCTTCTCTGTACACCCTCTGAGGTCGCTTCAGTCAGGCTAGTTCCCAGATCTCTCTCCACTGCCTACTGGAGATGCCTCCTACCCCCACCCAGGACACCCCATTGCCCTCTTGAATCCAGCAGTCTCTTCTATCCCAGTACAACACAATCATCCCAGCCCCCTAAACTGGGACCTAGACCACAAATATTTTTAAAGTTTTTTTGTTACATTTTAATATTTTCATACTACTTTTGAATGGGTAATGCATCCCCATGGTCCAAAATACAGAAGGCACAGGTCCACCTTGCAGCCCATCTGCCCAGCACTCAATTCCCCTTCCAGAGGCCACCTCTGTCACTGACGTATCTATGTCCCTCCAGAGATGTTCCAGTGGAAGAAAGCATTCTCCACTTCCTGTCTCTCATCCCAATCTGTCCTGCACCTTGTTGGTTTCCATTAACTATTTACCTTGAAGTTTGTCCCACATTCGTTGACGAAGAGCTTCCTCTATATGGACAGAATTCCATTGTGCAGACTTGCTAGAATTAATTTGATTAGTTCCTGTTGAAGGAAGGATAGGATTCCCCGCCTTTTGCTACCACGAGAAAGCTGCCATGAATAACAGCGCACACGTGCCATTTCGCCCAGATGCAAGTATCTGAAGGCAGCCTTCCCCAACAGGGGTTTGCTGGGTGACAGAATGGGTGCATCGGTGTCAAATGGCCCTCCACCAGGGTTGTATCTATCCATCCTCCCACCGGCGGTGTGTGGGAAAACTGGCTTCCCCACCAATACGGCGTTTCAGGCAATGTTCTTATTTATGACACCCCAGTAAGCAATAAATGACATTGCACCGGAGTTTTGATTTGCATTTCTTTTCCATAGGATAGGCATCTTTTTGGAGGGTTAAAAGCCATTGTGGCCAGGCACGGTGGCTCATGCCTGTAATCCCAGCACTTTGGATCGCTTGAGACCAGGAGTTCAAGACTTGGCTGGCCAACATGGAGAAACCCCATCTCGATTAAAAATACAAAAATTAGCCAGGCATGGTAGTAGGCGCCTGTAATCCTGGCTACTTGGGAGGCTGAGGGAGGAGAATCGCTTGAACCCAGGAGGTGGAGGTTGCAGTGAGCCGAGATCATGCAACGACGTTCCAGCCTGGGCAACAGAGAGAAACTCCACCTCAAAAAAAAAAAAAAAAAAAAAAAACCATTTGTATTTTCTTTTCCTGTAAACTGTGCCTTCATACCTTTTGCCTACTTTCTTATTCGGTGTTGGTCTTTTTGATTGATTTCCATGTTAGGGGGACTCACTTCTGGTCCATCACACAAGTTACAGCCATATGTTCCCAGGTGGCCACTGGCACTTTGGCTTAACTGATGGTGACTTGAGCCACGTGGACTTCTGCATATTTAAATAGTTTGGTTAATCAATCTTCTCTTTTATGGCTTCTGGGTTCTTTGTGATTTTTAGAAAGGTCTTTGCCATTCTGAAATTATATTTTTCAAACAGTTTACTATAGTTTCTTCTTATAGTTTTGTGGTTTCATTTGTTACACTGAATTATTTGACATGACTCATTATCCCATTGCACAGTGTAAGGTAGACTCAACTTTATAGTTTTACAGATGGCTACTGTAAACTAAAAATACAATTATAAGCCCTCCAACTGACTAAACAAACCACTTCTTGGCCAAAGGGACCTCAGAAAAACTTTTATTTTTATTTATTTATTTATTGAGACAGAGTCTCGCCCTGTCGCCCAGGCTGCAGTGCAGTGGCACTATCTCGGCTCACTGTAACCTCTGACTCCCATGTTCAAACCATTCTCCTGCCTCAGCCTCCTGAGTAGCTGGGATTACAGGCACCCACCACCACCACGCCCAGCTAATGTTTGCATTTTAGTAGAGACAGGGTTTCACCATGTTGGCTAGGCTGGTCTCGGACTTGTGACCTCAAGTGCTCCCCCTGCCTCTGCCTCCCAAATTGCTGGAATTACAAGCGTGAGCCACTGCACCTGGCCCAGAAAAACTTTTAAAACTGAGATCCCAACCGTGATGGAAGGGGAGGTCAGACACGCCTCATTATACACCTCCCTTTCGCAGTTGAGACACAACTGACCAGCAGTAATGTTAAAACAGAACCATAAATTAAAAAAAAAAAAAAGAACCATAATATGGACAGAACAGACTTTGTGGCAACACAATACCAAATTACAACCAGGACCTCAGGCCCTGCCAGGTGAGGGTGAGGTCACACACCCCACACTTAAACCGTGAACTCTGTCCTGCCTGCCACAAGGTGTTTCTTTTGCTCTGGCAGCTAAACAAGCCGCTGCCTCGAGATAAGCCAGATGAAATCAATCACAGCTCATCCAGGGCCCCTACGCTGAGCAACTGAGCCCCTGCTCCAGGCCCTAATTCCAGCCTTCATTAGAGAAGAGACTGATTTCAGTAGCTTTCTCCAGATCAGAAGACCACGGACCACGGACCAGTTCTGGCCGGTTTGCAGAAGCTCCGCGCCCGTGTTCCGAAGACCTTTAGCGGTATAGGGCCTAAGTGTAATGCATTTACATGTTAAGTCTCCACCCCAAAGTGAACATGGGTAGTATATCACATGCATGTTCTTTCAATATGCATCCGTCAGGGCCACCTTCATGAATATGCATAGCTCCTCCTGTAGCCTGTTGAATATGTATGTTTAGCCAACGCCTTTAGCATAAAGCTGCTACCCCAACCCCTCCTCTTTTGAAGTGCCTGTCTCTGGCCTCTGCCACATGCCATGTGCAGGATGGCCACCTTGCAGGCTGTAACTCTTTAAAGAAATAAAATCTCCTTTCTAAATATATAAATTGTGTGATTTTTTTTCCCAGTTAACAGTACCCATTGACCAACACAATTTACCCTGAACGTATATTCCTCCAGCGAGGCTCATACAAAACCTGGACGTGGATTTAAAACTAGTTCCCGGCAGGGCGGTGTTCTTGGTGCTTTTCCTCTCGGCCGCAGCTTCTGCCGCCCTCAGGGCCCCGTGGCTCCTCTCTCCGAAATATTTCATGAATCCGCCTCCTTCTCTCGCTCTCCACCTTGAGCTTCAGTTGAGAACTCCGCGTTTCTCCCTGGGAATGTAGAGATGCGTTAGTGCCGGGAGAGGGCGTTGCGAGATTTCCAGATTGCGCGTGGCATCCTGTCTTCCCCGTCGCTCTGGGACAAAGCCCCCTCCCCTTCCTACCCAACCAAATCCTCTTCCTACTGGACCTTGGGGTGCCCCCTCTAGGCCCTCAGCAGTCACCACTCACCCCCTCCCTTTCTTAGCCCAGTCCCAACCTTATCGTGGAAGGGTAGGAACAGAGTCCCAGCCCAGCCTGCCTGTCCACCTTCAGGCACCAAACACCCTGAGGTCTGCACCAGCCGTTGCTCTAGCCCAGCGGTCCCCAACCTTTTAGGCACTAGGGACTGGCTTCGTGGAAGACAATTTTTCCACGGATTTGGGGGGATGCTTTTGGGATGATGCAAACACATTTATTGTGCACTTTATTTCTATTATTAATTGTAATACATAATGAAATAATTACACAACTCACCATCATGTAGAATCAGTAGGACCCCTGAGCTTGTTTTCCTGCAACTAGACGGTCCCATCCGGGAGTGATGGGAGACAGTGACAGATCATCATCAGGCATTAGATTCTCATAAGGAGCCTGCAACCCAAATCCCTCGTATGCGCAGTTCACAACGGGGTTCATGCTCCCATGAGAATCTTATGCCACGGCTGATCTGACAGGAGACAGAGCTCAGGCAGTAATGCGAGCAACGAGGAGCAGCTGTAAATACAGATGAAGCTTCTCTGGGGACCCCTACGCTAGTCCACAGAGGCGGGAGAAGTGGAGCGGCTTCTCCTCTCCAAACAATGCACCCCTCCATCCCCATCTCATCTCCTCCCATGGGCAGGTCTTGGGCAAGGCTTCATTCTCACTAGAAAAATCACCCTCCCTCCCCCATGGCCTTCCGGCTCCTGCCTTTCTCCTGGAGCCCTGGACCCGGGTGTCCATCCTCCAGCTCTGGGTGGTCCAGGGGCTTCTGATGCTGGGCATCTGGACATGGAGGTTGTGGGGAAAGGTTCCTTGAATAGTCGGGGAGAAGGGTGGAGAAGATCGGCCCTTGCCAGCAAGTCCTCTGTCAGGCCAGCATCCCATGGTTAACAAGCTCGTTCTGGGTCCATTTCTCTGGGTAAATGGCAGTGTACAAATAGAAGTCCCTGCCCCCAGAGAGCTCACATTCCAGGTGGGAGACAGACAATAAACAAGCTAGCAACAAATACAATCACAGTGGCAGGTGGTGAAAGCGCCATGAAAAAATGACCAAGGAGCCTTCGCTCACACACTGGATTTCTTCTGGGCGCGAGCAGAAAAACCGGCGAATCCTGATCAAGAAGGCACCCTCTGGTGGCCATATGAGGAATAGGCCACAGTGACACCAGGGCGGACGCTGAGAGACCCGGTGGGGCCATGGCAGTGTCCAGGCAAGGGGACGGAGGCTTGGGCCAGGGAGGTGATGGTGGGAAGTGTAAGAAGTGGCTGGACGGAGAGTTGGTATTGTAGAGGCTTTAGGACTTGCTGAGGGAGTCAAGAATGATGTTGGGTTTCATTCTTAGCACCTTGGCGGATGGAGGCACCATTTAACTAGGAGGGGGTGGCCGCGGGAGGAGTGGGCTTAGAGCATCCAGGAATCAAGCTTCTGTCCTGGACATTTTGGGTGAGAAGCCTGTTGAACATGAAGCTGTTGAGTGTTTGGATAGAATATTCTGGAAAAGGGGAAGGGTCCAGGCTGGAGGCATAAGCGTGGAGTTGTCCCAACGTAGATGGCATTTGCTATTGACCGAGTGTTTACATCCCTGAGAACGTATATATTGAATTCATATGTTGAAAACTAATTCCAGCGTGATGGCATTTGAAGGAGAAGCCTTTGGGAGATGATTAGGTCATTAGGGAAGGGCCCTCGTAAGTGGGCTTGTCACCTTTATAATACAGGCCCTGAGAGCTAACTAGCCCCCTCCACCACGTGAGGATACAGTGACGAGTTCACCATCTATGAACCAGAAAGCAGGTCTCACCGGACATTGAATCTGCTGGCACCGTGGTCTTGGACTTCCCATGCTCCAGAACTCTGAGAAATGAGTTTCTGGGGTTGTTGTTTTGTTTTGTTTTTTGAGACATGGTCTCACTCTGTCGCCCAGGCTAGAGTGCAGTGGTGAGATCTCAGCTTCGTAGTATATTTTGAAATCAGGTAGGGTGATGCCTCTGGCTTTGTTCTTTTTGTTCTAGATTGCTTTGGCTACTCAGGGCCTTTTGTAGTTCCATACAACGTTTAGGGTTTTTTTTTTTTTTTTTCTGTGAAAAATGACGTTGGGATTTTGATAGGGATTGCACTGAATCTGTAGCTCTTTGGGTGCTATGGACATTTTAACAATACTGATTCTTCCATTTCATGAACACAAGATATCATTCCGTTTATTTGTGTTTTCTTCCATTTCTTTTAGGACTCCAGAGACTAAGTCAGTATTTAAAGCAGCAGGAGGCCACCCAGGGAAGGAATGCAGCTCAAGACCCCATCCACCCAGCAGCAGCAGATGGTGGTGGGAGAAAGTCTAGGGGGCAAACTCCACTTTCAGCCTCAGCAAGGACCCTCACTGAATGCTAGGGGGCTCTCTCTCACCCCTACTCCCCACTTCCCACCAACCCCATTCTCAAACACCAACTTCTTCTTCCAGAGGTGACCTCAGTCTCCACTCTACTCAAGCCCATCTCAAGATGACTGTGCCCTCTTCCTCCAACTTTCTACCTCTCCCACTCACGAGCTCTGGGGTCAGGCTGTGTCTCCACCCGCCTCCTCTGCTATCTGGCCGTGTGTCCCCAGTGAGTGGCTTCACCTCTGCAAACTGCTCTCCCATTGCTGATGGGGGCACCTCCCTCTCTGGATAGCCATGAGCACGGGGTGCAAGTATGTGTGTCATGTACCTAGAAGGAAACTGGCACGTAGCAGACTCTGGATAAATGTCAGCATGAGTGTGATGGGGCTGGCTTTCTCCTTTTTATCTTGTATTCCTCTCCCCACTTCTAGGGTGTCACTCTGCTCTTTCTCCAATGTCCTCAGCCTCGTTCTACTGTCTCCCTCATCTCACATCCGGTCTCTCCCATCTTACAAAGAAGCAGCCCAGGGGTTTTGTCTTCGAGACCCCTCCGGCTGCCATCCACCGACCCTACCTCCCCTCCCCTGCCCTCGCCTCCAGGAAACACCCACTGCACCCTGGTTTCCTCCATGGTCAGTGAGAGTGAGATTGGACACCATTATTGGCACACAAAGATGGGGAATCTGGAGACTGGGCCGAGGAGGGCTGGGGACCAGGGACCCCAGAGAACCAAAACCTGGGAAGCTAAATCTCCATCCTCTTCCACAGCAGTGTCCTCCTGGTGTTTGACCCACTTCTGTGGATTACAGCGTGTTTTTAGGGGAACTGCAGACTGAATTGTGTTCCCCTAAAATTCATATGTTGAAGCCCCAGTAACTCCACATGTGACTGTATTTGGAGACAAGGTCTTAAAAGACGTGATTCATCCCAGCACTTTGGGAGGCCAAGGTGGGTGGATCACGAAGTCAGGAATTCAAGAACAACCTGGCCAATATGGTGAAACCCCGTCTCTATTAACAATACGAAAATTAGACAGGCATGGTGGTGCATGCCTATAATTCCAGCTACTCAGGAGGCTGAGGCAGGAGAATTGTTTGAATCCAGGAGGCAGAGACTACAGTGAGCCCAGATCGTGCCATTGCACTCCAGCCTGGGAGACAGAGCGAGACTCTGTCTCAAAAAAAAAAAAAAAAAAAAAAGAAGAAGAAGAAAAAAGAGGTGATTCAGGTAGAGTGAGGTCATGAGAGTGGACCCTCACCCAATATGCCTGGTGTGCATATAAGAAGAGGAGATTAGGACACAGACACGCACAGAGGGAAGCCCATGTGGGGACACAGGGAGAAGACGGCCACCATTAGCCAAGGGGAGCCCTCAGAAGAAACAACCCTGCTGACACCTTGATCTTGGACTTCCAGACTCCAGAACTGTGAAAAAGTACATTCCTGTTGTTGAAGCCTCCCGATCTGTGGTCCTTTGACATGGCAGCCCTGGAGAATTAATACAGGTGCTAACGGCTCCCACAATGGATGGCCCTACACCACCACTCCAGTGAAAATGCTCCCTTGAGGCTCACCTACGTATGACGTCCAGGTTTCTAAATCCAACGGTCACTTCTTGGTCCTTGTATCAGTCATGTTTCAGTGTAAGGACTAGAAGCCACATTAGGTATCTTAAGCAGAAAGAGATTGAACATAGGAAATTCAGCACCTACAACATCATAAGATGTACTCAGGGAGCGTGCTCCAGGGCCAGTTTCCAGAAATGACTCCCAGGACACCACAGAACTGACCAAGAGGGGCTGCCACCGAGGCCACAGCCAGGAAGGTGAGGAGTCAGGGGCCACCTCTAAACCCCCCACTGTGGCTGCCACCCAGGGGTTAGGATGCTACCACCACTGCTGTACCCGAATCTTGAGCCTCAGGAAGTCAGAGTCCAGATACTACGACACAGGGTCCAGCACTGCGTCCTCTGCTGCAACTGCTTATTGACACCCACAAGGTCACTTGCCAGCAATGACTGCCAAGAGCAGCAAGAAGACAGCTGCTTTCCAAATCTCATGGGAGCAAATCCCATTGGTAGGATCTAATTCACATCCAGAATCATAGCTGCAAGGGATCCGGGAGGAAGGGTGGCTTTAGCTTGCTAGCCTCTGCAGTATAGGAGGGTGAGGCGGGGTAGAATGGAAGGTGAGTGAGTCGACCTGGGCCCTAGCCCACTCCTACCCTGCCTCTCTGCATCACTTGGCTAGGGCCACTCCCTCCCCTTTTCAATATTTTTCCAGTTGTCTCCTTGCACTGGTTTGGGCTCCTCTGTCTCACTCCATGTGTCAGCACACTCATACTCCACTGCAGACAAGCAGCAGGGCTTGCTCGGGCAGGGCTTTGTTGATCTCACTCAGCAGGGTGTCAGGAGGCAGCCTGGGACTGGAGCTGCAGCCCAGCAGTGCCATCAGAAACCTGGGCCCTTCTGTGTTTTGGTCCCATCACCCTCAGCACTTGCTCTGCCCCTCATGCTTACCGTTGAGAGCTGCAAGTTGGCTGCACCTGCCAGCCTCACACCCACTTTCCAAGCAGCAGGGAAGGGGGCCAAACACTGCCTTCTCCTCATGAGAATTTCCTTTTATTCAGGAAGGGCCACCCTCTCCAGGGACCCTGGTTGGCCAGAAAGGTCACATGGCCATCCTTGGCTGCAAAGGAGGCTGGGAAATAACAATTTAGGTTTCAGACTCTGTAGTTAGTAGAGGAAGGAGAGCTGGAGAGGGATTGAGAATAGCTGTTGAGTGAGCCTACTTTTTAATATTTGTCATAGCCATAAAGGGAATTAGCTGGCTCACGTAACCAAGTTGTCTGGGCTTCCAGCATTGATGATGCAGAGGCCCATATGATACCATCCAGCCTCAATAGCTGTTGTTGCACATCTCCCCACTCACCTTCCTCTGCTGTGGCTTCATTCTTAGGATCCTTCTGGTACTTAGAACTCCAGATTCACATCATCTTCCCAGCTGGACATCACAACTGGAAAGGAGTTTTCTTTGTCTAGTTGTTCCAGCAAAAGTCCCAGGACTGAATCTCACTGGACTTACTCAGGTCACCAAACCACTCTTGAACGAGTTGCCATAGCCAGGCAATGGAATACCAGCTGGACCTCTGTTCCATGGGTCACGTGAGTCCTGGGCCCAAGCCCAGGTACTAAGAAAGGAATAAACTCCCCCGCTCAATGGAAAGAGGAGCACAGAATTTGCAGCCATCGGCTGGGCACAGTGGCTCAGCACTTTGGGAGGCCAAGGCGGGCGGATCACTTGAGGTCAGGAGTTTGAAACCAGCCTGGCCAACACGGTGAAACCCTGTCTCTACTAAAAATACAAAAAATTAGCCAGGCATGGTGGCACATGCCTGTAGTCTTACCTACTTGGGAGGCTGAGGCAGGAGAATGGCTTGAACCCGGGAGGTGGAGGTTGCAGTGAGCCGAGATCATGCCATTGCATTCCAGCCTGGGCGGCAGAGCGAGACTCCATCTCAAAAAAAAAAAAAAAAAAGAATTTGCAGCCATCATTAACCTACTGCCCACTAAGCTGGCTCAGCCCCCTGTAGAAACAGCACCATCACCCGCCAGTCTCCCAGGCTGGAAACCTCAAAGTCATCCTTCACTCTGCTCACCTTCACCCTCGATTTTTCACCAGGACCAGTCAGTTTCAGTATCTAATTACCTCTCACAAAGGTCCCTCACACCCCAGATCCTCTGTACCCCCAACCATCAGCACCCCTGGCCTGGGCCTTTGTAACAGCCTCCTAAGAGGCCTGTCTGCATTTAATCTGTCCATCAAGTCCTTCCTTCACATGACAGCCAGAGTGACCTTTCTAAACTGCAAATCAGGGCTCACCTTGGTTCCCGGTTCTCAGGTCTCCACCATCTGGCATGTGACCCAGAGGGAGTGAGGACACCTCTCCAAGGCTCAGCCTCACTCATAGGCAAGGCAGGCTCATAACAGAATCTCAAAGGGTTGTACTGAGGAGCACTTGGGACAAGGCATCTGGCACAAGAGACATTTCCCACCAAGGAGGGTTTCTTTCTTACCTATTGCCAATCTGAAAAAAATAAGAAGAGTAAATGGTGTTCTGGCATTCAGAGCCTCTCACCACCTGGCTCCCATTTCTCTTTTTTTTTTTTTTTTTGAGACAGAGTCTTACTCTGTGGCCCAGGCTGGAGTGCAGTGGTGAGATGTCAGCTCACTGCAACGTCCACCTCCCAGGTTCAAGCGATTCTCCTGCCTCAACCTCCCAAGTAGCTGAGATTACAGGCATGTGCCACCACACCCGACTAATTTTTGTATTTTTAGTAAGGACTAGGTTTCACCATGTTGGCCAGGCTGGTCTCAAACTCTTGACCTCAGATGATCCGCTGGCCTCGGCCTCTCAAAGCGCTGGGATTACAGGCGTGGGCACCTGGCCCATTTCTCCTTTGAGGTTCATCCCCCCTGCTTCCCGCTAAAGCCACACGCATACACTCACTCAGCGTTAAGTGCGTGCTCCTGCCCACCAGTGTACACAGAGGTCGCCCAGTCTCCACCTCTGTGGCTTGCACATGCTGTCCCCACCACCCGGTGCCCTTCCCTCTTCCAAGCCAGCTCTCCTAACCCAACCCCTACACCTGACAACCCCTTCCCCAGTTCTCCCCATGTGGAATCCATCCTTACCACTCCCGTTCATACTGTTTCAAGAACTCGTTACGTGTCAGCGGAATCATCCTGGATTGGATTGCCTCCCCCATGTGACGGGCTCCTAGGGGTCCAGCCCTGTTCCCGGCCAGAATCCAGCCCCACGGATACCTGGGTATTGGGGCTGAAGGACCCTCAGAGGTCCCCTCGTTCACAGGGGAGCCCCAGGCGGTGGGTTCTCTGAGTGCCATCCCCGCGGCGACCACGCAGGGGAGCCCGCGGGCTGGCTTTGGTCACCTAGGAAACCGACGAGGGGTGGGGCAAGGAGGGCCAGACCCCTGCCCCGACTCTGGTCTGGCTCCTCCTGTGGGCCTCGGCTCTGGAGAGCTGAGAGACCCCAGGCCCACTTCCCTCGGCCACTCGTGGCCGTGCTCTGTGCTGACTGCCTTACATGGATTATTTCATTACATTCTGCAAAACTTCCCTTGTTTGAAAAAATGAAACAAAAACAACCTTCCCTTGAGGGAGGCGTCGTCACTAACCCCGGTTTTTTTGTTTTTGTTTTCTGTTTTTCGTTTTGTTTTTGAGACGGAGTCTCACTCCATCACTCAGACTGGAGTGCAGTGGTGCGATCTCGGCTCACTGCAACCTCCACCTCCCGAGTTCAAGCGATTCTCCTGTCTCAGCCTCCTGAGTAGCTGGGATTACAGGCGCCTGCCACCATGCCCGGCTAATTTTTGTATTTTTAGCAGAGACAGGGTTTCACCTTGTTGGTCAGGCTGGTCTCGAACTCCTGATCTCAGGTGATCCACCCACCTCGGCCTCCCAAAGTGCTGGAATTACAGGCATGAGCCACCGCACCTGGTCACTAACCCTGTTTTACAGAAAAGGAAGCTGAGGCCCAGAGAGGGAAGCTCACTATAGCGGGGCAGCCAGCAGTAACGGGGAGGAGCTGGCCATGTCTGCCCAGCTTGGTGGCCTGATCTCAGGCCTGAGCCCCTCTGTGCGGGTCTCGCACTGGGTGCCTCCCAGAGCTTTCTAGGGTTTTTGGTGGCCTTTTAAAAAACTTTTCTGTAGGGCTTCATTTGTGTTGTTTTAATTGTAGTGAAATATACATAACAGAAAATGTACCATTTTTACCATTTGAAGTGTAAAGTTCAGTGACATTAAGTACATTCACAATGTGCAACTTTTTTAAGGTTGCAAAACTGAAACTCTAGCCCTACCCGGAGCAATTGGGCAAGTGAAAGAAAAAAATGGCATCCAAACTGGAAAGCAGGAAGTAAAATTGTCCCTTTTTGCAGATGACATCATCTTATATTTACAAAAACCCAAACACTCCATTCAAAAATGGTTAGGACTAATAAATTCAGTGAAGTTGCAAGACGCAAAATCAACATACAAAAATCAGAAGTGTTTCTTTACACCGGTAGGAAGCAACTTGAAAAAGAAAAAAGCAATCCCATTTATAATAGCTGCAAAAAAAAAAAAAAAACCACACTTACGAATAATTTTTTTTTTGAGACAGAGTCTCGTTCTGTTGCCCAGGCTGGAGTGCAATGGTGCGATCTCGGCTCACTGCAAGCTCCACCTCCCGGGTTCACGCCATTCTCCTGCCTCAGCCTCCCGAGTAGCTGGGACAGCAGATGCCCGCCATGACACCTGGCTAATTTTTTTTTTTTTTTTTTGTATTTTTAGTAGAGACGGGGTTTCACCGTGTTAGCCAGGATGGTCTCTATCTCCTGACCTCGTGATCCACCCGCCTCGGCTTTCCAAAGTGCTGGGATTACAGGCGTGAGCCACCATGCCCAGCCATGAATAAATTTAACCTAAGAGGGAAAAGATCTCTATGATGAAAATTATAAAACACTGATGAGAGAAACTGAAGAGGACACAAAAACATGGAAAAATAACCCATGTTCATGGATTGGAAGAATTAATATTGTTAAAATGTCCATACCACACAAAGGGATCTACAGATTCAATATAATCTTTACCAAAATATCAATGACATTCATCACAGAAATAGAAAAAAAAAATCCTAAAATCTGTATGCAATCTGTATGGACAAAGCATTCAGGGCCTTTGAGCAAAAGGAAGAAAGCTGGAGGCATCACACTACCTGACTTCAAAACATACCACCAGGCTATAGTAACCAAAACAGCATGGTACTGGCATAAAAGTAGACACATAGGCCAGGTGCAGTGGCTCACAGCTGTATTCCCAGCACTTTGGGAGGCTGAGGCAGGAGTTCACTTGAGGTCAGAGTTCAAGACCAGCCTGGCCAACAAGGTGAAACCCCGTCTCTACTAAAACTACAAAAATTAGCCAACCATGGTGGCTTTTGCCTGTATTCCCAGCTACTTGGGAGGCTGAGGTGGGAGGATCGCTTGAACCCGGGAGGTGGAGATTGCAGTGAGCGGAGATGGCGCTGCTGCACTCCAGCCTGGGCAAGAAGTAAGACTCTGTCTCAGAAAACAAAAACAAAAACAAAAATGGACACATAGACCAATGGAACAGAATAGAAAACCCAGATATAAATCCACGTATTTACAGCCAAATGGTTTTTTACAAAGGCACCAAGAATATACACTGAGGAAAGGACAGTCTCTTCAGTAAGTGGACCAGGAAAATTGGATATCAGCATGCAGAAGAAGGAACCTAGACCCCTGTCTCCCACCACACACAAAAATCAGCTCAAAATGGATTAAAGACATAAATGTAAGACTCGAAACTAGGAAAGTACTAGAAGAAAGCATAGAGAAAATGCCTCAGGACATTGGTCTGGACAAAGTGTTTTTTTTTTTTATAAGACCTCGAAAGCACAGGCAACAAAAGCAAAAATAGACAAATGGGGAATGCAACAAGCCAAAAACATCTGCATGGCAAAGGAAACAATCCACAGAGAGAAGAGGCAACCTATAGAATGGGAGGGAATATTTGCAAACTATCCACCCAACAAAGAATTAATGTCCAGAACACAGAAGGAGCTCAAATAACTCAACAGGAAGAAAAAAAAATACAATTTTTAAATGGGCAAAAGACTTGAATAGACATTTCTCAAAAGAAGACATGCAGATAGCCAACAGATAACATGAAAAACAAATGTTCAACGTTGCCAGTCGTCAGGGAAATACAATAAAACCACAATAAGATATTATCTCACCCCAGTTAAAATTGCTATAATCAAAAAGACAGAACATGGCAAATGCTGGCAAGAATGCAGAGAAAGGGGAACTCGGCCACTGTTGGTGGGGATGTAAATCAGTACAGCTGTTATGGAAAACAGTCCGGAGCTTCCTCAAAAAACTACAACTAGCGCTACCATATGATCCTGCAATCCCACTCCTGGGTATATGTCCAAAGGAAAGAAAATCAGCATGTTGAAGAGATGTCTGTACTCCCATGTTTATTGTGTCATTATTCACAATAGCCAAGATATGGGAGCAACCTAAGTGTCTATCAGTGGATGAATAGATAAAGAAAATGTGATACATATACACAGTGGAATATTACTCAGCCATAAAAAATAATGAAATATCATCATTTGCAACAACACGGATGAGCCTGGAGGACATTATGTTAGTGAATTAAGTCAGGCGCAGGAAGACAAATTGTCTCTCATATGTAGGAGCTAAAAAGTCAATCTCACAGAGGCAGAGAGTAGAATGGAGGTCACCAGAGGATAGAAAGGGGATCGGGGAGCAGAGGGGAGGAAGAGATTGGTTAACAAGTACAAAATGACAGCCGGATAGGAGGAATGATCTCTATCGTTCTATAACACAGCAGGAAGTCTATAGCGGACGATTTTTGTATATTTCAAAATAGTTAGATGGGAAGATTTTGAAAATAGCTAGTGTTCCCCCAACACCAAGAAATGACACATGTTTGAGCCTTCAGATATTAACACCCCAGCCGACCTCAAGAAGAGCAGAGACCGGCTCTCCCAGGGGGACCCTGCCTAGACTGCGGATTCGTGAGCAAAATCAATGCTGTTTAAATCCACTAAGACGTTTCAAAGTCATTTGTTATGGAGCAGAACAGATAGGTATTCCATAAATATATGTTGAATGAATAAGGGAATAAACATTTCAGGGAAGACAGAGAAAGGAGAGGCTGCAGGGGAGACTGATGGGGGTGAGGAGGGTAGAGGGAATCAGAGAGTGAGAGTGAGTGACCTGAGGGCACACAGCAGGCTGGCGGCCAAAATTTTAAGTGTGGTGTCCCATGATGGATATCTTTATTCTGCCTTTCTTCCTTCCCTCCTCCTTTCCTTTTATATTGAGAATCTCCATCTCCCACATACACAAAAAGCTAGGAATACAAAAGTAGAAGATCAAGACCAATGAGAAAAGCAGAGGGAAATATGCCAAATGATGAGTTGTTGCTGATGAGATTCGGATTGGCCTGAGCTTCCTGGCAGCTGGGGCAAAAAGGGAAACAGGATACATTACTCAGTTCTCCTTACTGGAAAAGGAGAAGCATGTCAGTTTCTTAGCGAGATGGGTTTTCTTAACACCATGCCAGGCGAAAGCTCTTACGTGCTCTGCTGTAAGAGGCACTGGGTGACATCATGCCCTCAACAGCAAGCAAAGAAGTGGCTTCCTTGTTACTTAAAAGAACTTCTTCGCTGAAGGCCGAAGCCCAGAGCATGTCCTGACATCTTTACAGAACCTGGAGGACAGCATGGCCCTTACTGGGGTCACAGGCATCTGAGAGCATGTTTGAAATAATGATTCCAGGTCCCTCCATCGGAGAGACAGACTCAGAACTTGGGAGTCTATATCTTAACAGATACCCCAGGTGAGGCTGGTGTGTATCCAGGTTTGAGTTTCCCTCCCTAAGATCATCTTTCCTAAATCTCAAGAAAACACAGCCAGCCCCTGTCTTCTGCCTTTGCTCCCTCTGATCTTCCCAAGCTGCTGAGACATTCCACGGTATCCGCATTTTACAGATGGAAAGGCTGAGCCTGACTGATGCTGCTGCAGCTCACGGGTGGAGGCACTGAGGTTCAAAGCCAGGGTGACTCATTGGAATCCAAGGAGCTGCTGGCTGACACCAGAAAGAAGCTAGTCCTCCCAGCACTTTGGGAGGCTGAGGCGGACAGATTACCTGAGGTCAGGAGTTCGAGACCAGCCTGGCCAACATGGTGAAACCCCACCTCTACTAAAAATACAAAAAAATTAGCTGTGCATGGTGGCGCATGCCTATAATCCCAGCTCCCGGGGAGGCTAAGGCAGGGGAATCGCTTGAACCCGGGAGGTGGAGGTTGCAGTGAACCGAGATTTCGCCATACTCAGGATTTTGCCTTCTGGAGTGTAAAGTCAGACAGGGGCACTTCATGTGACACACATCAGCCCTTCACAAACACGACCCAGCCTCATTCCTTCAAGAAGCGTGTTTTGACCATCTATTGTGTGCCAGGTTGTTGTAAGTGCTGGAGATGCAGCAGGAAGCCAGACCAGCCCAGTGTACTAACTAGATGTAATATATTAACTGTATTTTCTTACTTTCTATATTCTTGAGGCTCCGGCATCTGGGACCTCGTGACTAAGAATTAGCACCTCTCCCAGGGTTAGCTAATTCCTAGAGAGAGAAAATGACTTTCACATGCAAACCAACCAATTCTGAGGTGCCCCTGTCTAGCTTTACACTCCAGAAGGCAAAATCCGGAGCATCTTTTCTTTTCTTTTTTTTTTTTTCCATTCTGTTGCCGAGGCTGGAGTGCAGTGGTGAAATCTCAGCTCACTGCGACCTCTGCCTCCCAGGTTCAAGTGATTCCCCTGTCTCGGCCTCCCACGTAGCTGGGATTACAGGAACACACCACCACGCACAGCTAAATTTTTTGTATTTTTAGTAGAGACGGGTTTCACCATGTTGGCCAGGTTGGTCTCGAACTCCTGACCACAGGCAATCCACCCACCTCGGCCTCCCAAAATGCTGGGATTACAGGCGTCAGCCACCACACCCAACCCTGAGTATCTTTCAAAATACCCAGCCCTGGCCCCAGCACAGTGGCTCACGCCTGTAATCCCAGCACTTTCGGAGACAAAGCAGGAGGATCCTTTGAGCCCAGGGTTTAGAGACCAGCCTGGACAACATGGCAAGACCCCTGTCTCTACAAAAAAAAAAAAAAATTAGGCATGGTGGCATGTGACTGTAGTCCTACTACTTGGGAGGCTGAGGTGGGAGGATCGCTTGAGCCTGGGAGGTCAAGGCTGCAGTGAGCTGTGTTTGCTCCACTGCACTCCAGCCTGGGCAACAGAGCTAGACCTTGTCTCAAAGAAACACAAAACACAAAATCATCCAGCCCTGCCCTCAGAGCCCACAGAAGTGTTTCGGCCACTCAGTTTTCAAAGCAGGAGGACCCGGGGAGCCCCAGCGCTGCCCTGGGGTGGGGTTGGTTCTGGAGGGTGTCCAGCAAGTAGCCCTGGCCTCCCCCACGCCCCAGGGCCCATAAATGTGGACGTAGAAGCCAAAGACACAAGAACACAATGGCAGAAATGGGGACAGAGGGACCCAGCGATCACGTGTAACCGGAGATCCTGTGTGAATCCATTTGGTTGGAGCTCTACAATTATACTTTCGGGCAAAAAATGAGACTCCGTGGTAGACTGAAGCGGACACGGGTTTAACTACTGATTTCAATCTTTTAAAGGACTCCCACAGACACTGAAGGAGTGGGCTCCGAAAGAGCTAGAACTCACGTCCCAGAAAGATGAGTCAGCCTTAACCATGACCACTCAGAAGTCACAACCAAACTCTGGGCTGGAGCCCTGGCCTGCCACTGAGGACTCCCTGAACCTCAGTTTCCTGGTCTGTCAAATGGGAAACAGTCACCTTCAGATGACAGGATTGCAGGTTCCAGCCTTACCCTCCCCGTGGGGAGAGGGTCCTCCGGACTTTCCTCTTAGCCTGCCGTCCTCTCCCGTGCCCTGCTCTCCTCCTCCTCCTCTCTACTCAGAAACACCTCGGGCCTCTTGCAGCTTGACTTAAGTCAAGTTGCTTCTTTCCCGAAAACACCCTCTTCAACCCACCCCCTCGGGCTGCAGCGGATCCCACCTCTCCCAGCCCTCGTCCCTGCCCCACCTCACACCCTCCACTTCCTCCCCTCCTTTCCTCCCCACCGCTCACCCCCAGCCCCTTGCTGACCCCATGGACATTGGAGACCTCCACCTCCCAGCAGCCAGGGATATGGCCAGTCACTTCCTGGAAGGCCCTCATCTGGGAGCCTCTGACCACACCTGGGTTCCTTCATCCATCCCTCTGCTGCTCCCCCTTATTCCCATGATGGCCCCTCCAGGATCTCACAGGCTGGTCCCTTCATTCCCACCAGCAGCCCCCTCCTCCCCACCTCCCACCTCGATGCTGCCAATGCCAGGGGCTATGTTCCCAGGATCCCTTGCATCCAGGTGTGAGCATGGACCCACCCTGGCCACAGGGGCTGAGCGCAGCCAGGGTAGGCATGGTCAAGTCAGGATGTGACACCTGAGACTGCAGCAGCCATCTGTGACCTCAGGGAGGAGTGACACAGAGAGAGGCTGCCCCTGGTTTGTCTGGAACCTCCATCCATCCCACCCCATGACACACCTCCTGGGCCCGCAGGAGACCTTGGGCTTCCTCCAGGCCCCTACCGCAGTGACTTTGGCGCGGGGCAGAACCCAGGGCCCCTCTTCGTGCACGTGATACGCATGCATGCACTGGACCTGCAAGTGTGTTTTCCTGTCCCTAGCAGAAAAGGGCCCAGTCCCAAAACTACAGCTGCCTGGTTGGAAAGGGGAAGTGGGAGTCAGGGAGCAGCTGAGTCGAGGGTAGAGGCCCAGGGGCGTGGGGGAGAGGGAGAAACCCAAAGCAGAACTAGACCAGCCTCGTGCCCAGCGCCTCTGCATTCCCTCTCAAGCCACCCAGCCCTTACATTTGGCTGTTCCTACAGCCAGGGACACCGTCTCCTCACCTTCTCCCTCAAAAAGTCCTGTTTGACCTTCAATAGTGTCAAACTACTGATTTCAATCCTCAGACCAAACAGTCAAGACTCCAGATGAGCATTCATGCTCACTGAATGGGTTAAGAGCCCCTCTGTGCCCTGGGCTTATCGCAGAGCATGGGTGCTGGCTGTTTAATTTTCTGTCCCCAGCACCCAGCTGTCAGCCTGGCTCAGAGTCTGTGCTCAGAACTCGTAGCCATCTACGAGGTATGAGGTATGAGATAATCTCACCTAAAATTGTCCCTCCATTTGAAATCCCAGCACTTGATTCCCCCGCTTGGGTTGAAGTGCCCATAGATGCAGGATGCACACCATCTCCAGACGGCAGGACCAGGTGCTCAGACATCCGCGTGTGTGGCACACCTGTCACTCGAAGCTGGGCTATGTCCTTCCTGGCTTGCTTTTGCAATCCCTTCATCTACACAGGAGAGGAGGCCTGACTACATTCGCTTTGCAGACAGGGACACAGACGCAGAGGTAAAGTCGCAAATCCCACACTGGTAATGTTGGGATTTGAACCCAAGTCCAGGGGTTCTCAGGCAAGAGGGAGGTCACCTACGTGGGACACCGTTAAGGAGAAACGGAGAAGGCAGCTTTGGCCCCCACCCTGCTCAGCCTCTGCTAGGCGTCAAGGCTGGTGTGTGTTAACATGCGGAGACTGACATTCTGGGCTCCCGCAAGCACCCTGAATGTGGCCACCACCCTGTCCACCTTCTCTCCCCACGCTCCTCCCAACCCCTTTTCCCACAGCTCCTACCCTCTCTTTTGTTGTTGGTGGTGATGAATAAAATGTCTAAATACCAAGAAGATTCAAATCACCGTAAATCCTACAACACAGGGACAGTGACTGTCACCACATTGGTGACTGTCCTTTCCAGATAAGATCTTTCATCATCTGCTTACCTGGGAGGCAGTGAGTGGGCGAGCCACGAACCACATCCAGCCCATGGCGTTGGCCTCCACCATGTTCTCCAGCTCAGCATTTTGCCATTTTGTCAAACTACTTGAGGATGAATCTCACACAAAAGCAGATGAATGCAGCCATGCTTGGAAAACAGAGAAACCAGCCATCCTGTACTCTTGTCTCTCCATGGTGGCAGTCAGCTGGGGCCAGGACCAGCTGCCCACTTCATATGGGACAAGCCACTCCATTTTGCTACAGTCCCCACCGTTCCCCGCTGTGTCCCTAAGTGGGCCCACTCCCCTCATTTGCTTATTGTCTCACCCTTCAGGGCATTCAAGCTGGCAACCCCTGCTCTAGGCCTCTCCAACCGCTAACATCGATCAAAAACTGACGACAGACCGAGCGCCACTCCAACACACTTGACACAGCTTGACTCAGAGATCCCGTCACCAATGATATGAGGCAAGCACCCTTATTATGCCTATTTTACAGATGAAGAAACTGAGGCTCAGGGAGGTGAAGTCAATCACCTAAGACCATGGTAAGAAAGTGGCAAGGCTGGAATTTGAGCCCAGACCGTCTGGATCCCGAGTCTGGGCTCCCGATCCCCAGGCTACATGAAAACACACAAACTCACAGTTCTATGTCGAGGATAACTTTCCATGTTTATCAATATAACCTAGGATCAAAAATAGCAAGAGGGGGCCAGGTGCGATGGCTCATGCTTGTAATTCTAGCACGTTGGGAGGCTGAAGCGGGCTGATCACTTGAGGCCAGGAGTTCAAGACTAGCCTGACCAACATGGTGAAACCCTGTCTCTACTAAAAAAAAATACAAAAAGTTATCTGAGCATGGTGGTGTGTGCCTGTAGTCCCAGCTACTCGGGAGGCTGAGGCATGAGCATCATTTGAGCCTGGGAATCAGAAGTTGCAGTGAGCTGCCACTGCACTCCAGCCTGGGAGACAGAGAAAGACTCTGTCTCAATAAATAAATACATAGCAAGAGTGAATGTTGTTTTTATCTGCCTAGCTTTCCTTTTTTTAGAGAAATGCCCCTCACCTTGTGGCTCTGGTGGGCCTGTCCATCCCCTCTCACCTCCCTTCTGGCCACATGGCTGGGCACATAACCCAGGCCTGACCCATCATGCTGTTTCTCCCACGCTGTTGCAATGATTGTTCCAGGGGTGGGGCACATGACCCAGGCCTAGCCAATCACAGTCTTTTCCTGGGAAATTTCTCTTTGGTAAGCCCTCTCTCTGAAATCAAAGATGATTTGATGTGAGCCTGGAACTGAGAGACAGAGAGGGAGGGAGAGAATTAACAAGGACACTTAAGAGTCTCGGGTAGGCTGGGCACGGTGGTTCACGCCTGTAATCCCAGCACTTTGGGAGGCCAAGGAGGGCAGATCACGAGGTCAGGAGTTCCAGCCTGGCCAACATGGTGAAAGCCCATCTCTACTAAAAATACAAAAAAAAAAAAAAATTAGCCAGGCGTGGTTGCAGGTGCTTGTAATCCCAGCTACTTGGGAGGCTGAGGCAGGAGAATGACTTGAACCCTGGAGGCGGAGATTGCAGTGAGCCAAGACCGCACCACTGCACTCCAACCTGGGCAACAGAGTGAGACTCCATCTTAAAAAATAAAAATAAAAAAGAGTCTCTGCTATCTCTATCCCCAAGGCCAACCCCGTTCCAGACTGTTGAGAGACTGAGCCGCTCAGTTCCCATTTAAGCTGGTCTGAGTTAACATTACATACAACTGGAAGTAGATGCTTGAATCCTACATCGTAATTCTTCTCTTTCATGACTCGCACTGACCCATCATCCAGACACGGTACAATTTTTTTAACCATTCGCTCTCCGATGAGCCTTTGAGCTCTTCCCCAAATTCTCTGTTATCAGTGGTGCTAGGAGGAGCCTCTGCGTTACGGGCAAGTTCTAGAACTTGAACATCAGCATGTGCCCCACTGCCCTTGACCCCCATCCCTGCCTATGGCTTACTGGGTCGCAGGCCCTCCTTCCTGGATCCAGCTTCCTTCTCTCCCATTGCCCGTGCTCTTGGTCACTGGATGAGGAGTGACAGGTCTGGGGGAAATCAGGCACATCTAGAGAGATCTGTGCTCTGGAAACCCTACTCACAGCTCAGGTTCACAGGCAGACCTTCAGCAGTTTCAGGATGCTCCACTATGAGAGCCTCCAGGACGCTGTCTCCAGTTCTGAATCCTTGAGGAAAAAATCAGAAATCAGAGAAAATGAGAAAGGGGAAGGACTGCAGAGAGGATTCACTCCCCCAACACACACCTTGCCCACCACCTGCCACCTCCCATCTGGCCTAGTGACTCAACCATGTGCCCCATGAGGGCAGGACGTTTGTCTGTGCCAATGCCAGGAACAGTGCACGGCTCATAGCAGGCCTTCAATAAACATCAAAGGAATAAATAAATGAATGGATGGATGGATGGATGGATGGATGGATGGGCACTCTGACTGTGCAGCCAAAATGGGCTTAAGGGCAGATTCTGCTTCTAACTCACTCTGTTAAGTCCCTTCCCTCTCCCAGCCTCCGTTTCCCATCTGTAAGATGAGGCCATGGAATCAGACCTCCTCTAAGCTTCTTCCATCTCTCTCGCCCTTGGGCCATTGGCATCACGTGAGGAATTCTGAGCTTTTGGACAAACAGAAGATGTTACCCAGATGGTTTTGCTATTATTTGATTCAGATGCTAGACCCTTCCTATCTCTCCCTCAAAGGAAGTGCAGGGAGTGGGGAGGGCAGGTCGGTGAACTTCTGAAATGTTTAAAGTGACGCTTGTACAAGCTGAGTGTGGGGATCTGAAGTCAGACAGTTCAGGGCTTGAATCTGAACTTTGCTTTCTCCTGGCTGCGTGACCTTGGGCAAGTGATTTAACCTCTCTGAACTCAGTTCCCTCATCTATGAAAGAGGGGTTGTAATAATGTAATTTGTTGAATGGTGGAAAGGGTTAAATGAGATGACAAGCACTTAGCACAGTGTCTGGCACTCCATAGCAGGCACTCCAGAAATAGCAGTGATGGTTTTTTTAGGACCTCCCAGATCTCGTGTTTGGAGACTCTCATTTGTTGTCCCAGAACCAACTGCGGATCCCCTGCCTGGTACACAGGTGGGAACCAGAGCCTGATGTAGCGCAGAAGGACTGATCTCAGGCCAGAAAGTTTTAAGGGGATTCCTTCCCGTTTTCATCCTTCCTCCTACCTGGAATTTAGACATGATAGCTGGAGATCAAGCAGCCACTTTGGACCATGAAGAGAATTTGAGGACAGCAGCCGAAAGTTAGAAGGATCCTGGATCCATGCCCAGGCTGCTACAGGGCAGCCATGTGTTGCCCACTTCAGGTTTCTTTCTTGTAAGAGATCAATAAACCTCTAGTTTCTTTAAACCATTATTATTATTTGGGTTTTCTGTTTCATGTAGGCAAACCTAACCTGAACTGTCTCCATTTTGTAGATGATTTTAAATGATTAAAAATGAGGCTCGGAGGGGAAGGAAGAAGATCACACAGCTCACAAGAGCTGAGTCAGGATTCAAATCCAGTTCTCTGTGACTCCCCTGGGTCCAGCTTCCTGCTCTCCTCATTGCCTGTGCTATTGGTTCCCAGCAAATCTTGCAGCCAAACCTGGACAAGGAGTGACGGAGAAAATGATGAAGTCAGTTCTGCTAAACTCTTTGCTGCTCACAGTGAAAGAGTCCCTCCCTCCCAGGCTGTCTGCATATAAGCCGTTAAACATGACCAGCGTTGTGGGAAAGAGGGAGGGGAGGTGTCATCACAACGGACCTCACAGAGGAGGTGGTATTTGAGGTATGTCTTAGAGAATAAGACAGTAACAATAGCTGAACCACACAACCGTGACCATCCATCAGACAAAAGGGAAGTGTCAGATGCCAAACCGTGGCCTGGTCAAGACACATTTACTGGATCAGCCGCAAGATCAGGCAGCCTTCCCCAAGGCCATCCCAGGTTCAGTGGTTTACTAGGTGGACTCCCAGGACTCAGCTCATGGTCATACTTACGGCTATGATCTATGGCAGTGAAAGGACTCAAAGCAGAATCCGCAAAGGCGCCGTGGCGAAGTCCAGAGGAAACCAGGGGCAGCTTCCAAGAGTCTGCTCCCAAAAGAGTCACACGGGACACGCTCAATTCCTCCAGCAACAAGTCGTGAAAGCACCTGTGAGATGGGATGCTGCCAGGGACGCTAGGCAAATAGGTTAGGCCCAGTAAGCCACTCTCATCAGTTAGGGTGGTGGGAGCCCTCCCCAAATCCAAGCTCCCAGGTGCCAGCCAAGGGTCAACTTTGCAAGCATGACTTTCTAAAGATAGCAGTCTCCGGCCTGCAGTGTGAAGTCTTTCTGCACAGGGAATTATATATACCTTTCTCCATATTTCTAGGGGTTATTTTGTTTGTTTTGTTTTTTCTTTTGTTTTGTTTTTGGAGACGGAGTCTCACTCTGTTGCCAGGCTGGAGTGCAGTGGCGCGATCTCAGCTCACTGCAACCTCCGACTCTCTGGTTCAAGTGATTCTCCCGCTTCAGCCTCCCAAGTAGCTGGCATTATAGGCACCCGCCACCATGCCCAGCTAATTTTTGTATTTTTAGTATAGACGGGGTTTCACCACGTTGGCCAGGATGGTCTTGATCTCCTGACCTTGTGATCCACCCGCCTCGGCCTCCCAAAGTGCTGGGATTACAGGCATGAGCCACTATGCCCAGCCCACATTTCTAGTTTTAAAATGGCCAAGGGCATGGTTTGTGGTGCCTCAGGCCCAAAGCAGTTGAGAAAAATCTAGTTTACCATGGAAATAATTGTAACAAGTTTTCCAGAAAAGAACCATGAGTTATACAAGAACCCAGGTGGAGGCAGGGCAGGGGAGAAGCAGCGGGGTTCAAAAATCCTGAGCACACTAGACGGGGACTTAGTAGGCCTGGCTTCTGGGCCTGAATTGGCACTCACTCAAGTTCCAACTTGGTCAAGTGTTTCCCAGAAATAAGCCTCAGTTTTCTCTCCGAGGAAATGACAGCATTGGATTTCTTCTGTATCAGCAAGCTTTGGCTGCATAACAAAGCATCCCAGAAGTTGGTGGCTTAAACCACAAAAATGTATTATTTCCCACAGTGCTATGGGTCAGCAGTTTGGGTGGGACTCCGCTTGATGGTTCTTCTTCTGGTGTCCCCTGGCCTCACTGATGAGGCAGCAACCAGGGGACAGCCAAGACAGCCCAGCCTATCTCCTTGTGGTCCTCCGTCTTCCAACAGGCTAGCCCAGGCTTGTTCTCATGGTAGCCAGGCAGGGGGCTGAGAGCAAGAGCAGGAGCTGCAAGGCCTTTTAAAGCTCAGCCTCGAACATCACGGCACATCATTTCTGCCACGTGCTATTGGTCAAAGAGATGCCCAAGGCCAGCTCAGCTTCCAAGGAAGGAGAAATGGACTTCGCCCCTTGACAGCAGAAGCGGCGGCATAGTGAAAAGGAGGTGAACTTGTAGCTAGCTTTCACATCGGCCGTGATCTCTTCCATGTTCCCTTCATTCATTCATTCATTCATTCATTTGTTCATTCATTCCACACTTGCACACCCTCTATGTCCCCAGCATTTTACCACACACCAGAACACAAAAGGTAACCTTGCCCTCATGGGGCCTGGAGAGTAATGGGGAAACAGATGAATAACTCTGCATGTGTCCTGAAGTTATAGGGAATTCACATTTAATTTATACCTGTTTCTTTACAGCAAAGCTTTTTGCAGAAAGGATTTGAACCAACCTGCCAGAAAAGGCACAAGGAATAACATGATACATTTTAACCAAAGAAGATAATTAAAATCAAAGGAGAAAGTGTTTATTGAGCACCTACTATGTCCCAAGCATCTCCGACACATCCTCTCACTCCATGGTTTCCATATCCCCGAGTTAGTGTTATTCCCCTTTCAGAGATAAGCAAAGCGAGGCTGACTAGCCCTAGCTGAGAGTCAAACAGCTGAGTCAGGCCCCAAAGTTCACATGACATCATAGAATAGCTGTCGATGAGCTTTGGATTTGACGATGAGTTTCCCAGCAGCCTGGGGGAGAAGGAAAGTGGAACATATTACCCGATTGTTCACTAGACAAGAAAAAGCCAGATATTTCTTTGAAGGGAAGCAAAGCCCTTCCTAGCAGTGAATTCATTTGTCTCTTCTCAAGTGGGAGTTGGAAGAGAGCTTGTGGGGTGGAACACAGGGGGCCCTGCTAGGACTGTCCAAGTTGGGCGCTCCTATGGCATATATGTGAGGAGGCTGCCACGTGAATGCCCATGGTCCCCTGGAAAATGTTCGTCCTCAGTGAACATCGCCCTCGGTGTCTGTGCATGTGTACGTGTGTATGTGCATATGTGTCTGTGTGTTTCTTTCTGTCTCACTGTCTTTCTCTTTTTTATCTGGCCCTCCCCTCACTTCATCTGTTTGTTTGTTTGTTTGTTTGTTTGTTTCCACCTCTGTCCCTCCCTGGCAAAAGTCCCTGCTGCTCAAAACTCTGCCAGTTTTTAGGAAGTGCTGTTTTGTCAAAAGCCTGCACACGAGACCCCCGTGGGCCAGGACTGACTTCCTCCCCACACAGGGCTGGGCGGGGCAAGCAGGAAGGAGCCTGTTACAGTCAAGGTGACGCATCCTTGCCGGGCCAGCCCGAACAGCAGCTGGGTCGGCAAGCGACAGGAGCACGGGTCATCTTTTCCCCAGAGGCGTCGGAATGGACCTGTGCCACCCAGGTAAGCAACTGCCGTCAACCTCTCTGGGCCTCAGGGTGCTCTCTTTTAGAATGGGACAGCAGCCCCTGCCTCACAGGGTCCTAGATAAAGGAATACAGCGCAGGTGGGAAATGCAGCTGCAAGAAGCAAACATTTGTGGGCTCAGCCTGTGTGTCCAGTTGCGTTCTAGGGGCTGGACACACAGCAGTAGCAAAGCAGACGCTGTTTCCCCCTTCATAGGCTTGTGCTCTAGATGAGGAGACCGGCAGTGACTCTAATGTGATTCCATATGTCAGTTGATGGCAGGTAGGATGAAGAACAGTAAAGCAGGGTAAGGAAGACAGGAATGCATGGTGGAAAAGGCCCCAAGAGGAGATGCTGTCTGATGAGGGACCTGAGGAAGATGTCAGCTAAGGGGCTTTCTAAGGAACAAACATTCCAGCCAGAAGGAACAGCCAGTCCAAAGGCTCAGAGGTGGACTCAGAAAAGTGACTTGCGATTAAGATGATGATGGGATGTTGGTGATGGCGATGCTTGTCTGGGTGATACAAGGGCCTTGAGGCCCCTTTTTGGCCCCCGGGGGTTGGGGTGGTCTTTGGGGAGGCTGAGGACGCTGCCTAGAGCCAGGGGAGGGCCAGGAGTGAGCAACAGAGGCTCTGGTTGAAACCCTCCCCAGCTACTAAGACAATGTGTCTGGGGAGAAAGAGGAGAAAGGAGGCTGCAAAGATGGTGAGGAAAAGAACATCAGGGTCGTGTTTTGGGAGGCAAATTGAAGGCCCGGTAGAGGGGCCAAGTTTCTGCACCCTGGATGTCAGCATGCTCCAGAGCTGCAACAGTTCTGGTGAACACGGCTGCTGGAATTCCAGAACCTAAGGGCTCGTGGGAGCTGTCTGCTCCCCAGGTCCAGATGACCTCAGCCTTGTCCAGGAGCACCCTTGCTTCAAACGCACCTAATGTGGAGCAGCCTGGCCCCGCCCACTGGGCATCCCCCTTCCTCCCCACCCCCAGATGGAAGCCTCGGGCCCCAGGGAACCCAGAGAACCACTGATCCATTTCAACAGCCCCCCCAGTGGCAGAAGGGAGAAAAGAGGCCAAGGGAGGAAAACAGCCTCTCTAAGGCAGGAGCAGGACCAAATCCTGTTCCCTGAATCCCTATCCAGGGCTCACTCTGACCCCTGCCTCTCCCATGGGCTTTGGGGGCTCCCAAAATCACAGCTCAGTGAGCACAGCTTGGGGGCACCTGGTTGGCACAGGGAGACCCAGCGAAGGGCAGCACCTGGCTCAGGCCTCTCAGCAGACATGAGGGTGGGATGAGGGGGGGAGGGCACCCACCGAGATGCAACCCCCCTGCCTGTGTGTCCAGCAGGGCGCTTTGTCCTTTCGGGTCCTAACATACTGAGGTTACAGGGATGGCTGTCTCCATGTTGCAGATAAGGAAACTGAGGCTCCCAGAGGTGAACTAGAGACGGGGACTGACTTGCTTGAGGTCACACGGCCAGTCAGCAGCAGAGCAGGGACGAGAACCTGCGGGAGAGAGCCCCAGGTTGGCCGGGGCTATGGAGAGGGCAGGGGAGGGGAGTCTCTGCTTTGCTTCAGCCGGTACTAGGGAGGAAATGGATTAAATGGGGTCAATGGGTTCTCCATCGAGTAGTTGGTCTTTTCATTCATTCACTCTACAAACGACCTTCCAGTGTGCTATGCAGTGCTGGGGACAGCAGTGACCCAGCCATGGGCCTAACCCTGGGGGACAGGTGTTGGTCTGGAATGTTGGGGGTGGGGTGGAGAGGCAGGAGCCACATCCTGCAGGACCCTGACCCAGCTGTGCAAATGGACACAGACCTACAGATGGGAGGAAGCAACTTTTCCCACTGGGGCAGAGGAGATCTGGGAAGACCTCCTTGAGGAGGAGGCCAGAGGGAGGGAGAAAAGGTCATTTCCCTGTTGCCCAGACTGGGTCTTAAATGGGGCTTCTTCATGGCACGGTGACTTCCCCTCTCTGAGTTCTGATTTGTCATCTCTACGTGGGTGCCATCATCCTGGCCTGGCCTGGGGAAGCGGGGATTGGGAGTTAGCCGGACCTCGCTCAGGTTCCAGCTCTGCACCACCCTGCCAGTGGTCATGGTCTCTTCCTTCTATGGGCCTCAGTTTTCTCACCTTTATTATGGACAGGCTGGTGACTCAGGGGCCCCCAGGGCTGCCTCCCCTCCTCTCCTGAGGTGGGCCTGTGTCGGGAAGCAGGTAAGGCGCCCTCCCCCAGGGCCTGCCGGGAAGGTGAGAGGGCCAGACAGCAAAGCCCCAGTGTGGCCAAAGACAAGCACTGTGCTGGTGCAGAGAAGACAGGCAGCGCAGTTAAAAATAGAGCCAGCTCGGCTGGGGCGGTGGGGGGGCGGCGGGGGAGGAAGCCGCACTCCGCAGAGCCTGTGGGGCTTGTGGGGCTGGGGCGGGGAGCAGCTCCACCCACACCCCCTCTGCCCCAGGGTCCCTCCTACTGAGACTTTGAGGGGCCTCTTTATTTAGGGCCCTGAGATGGCATCCTCCTCCTGCCCTGGAAAGGGGAAGTGAGGCCAGCTGTCCTGGAAGCAGGGCTGCAAGCTCAAAGATTTCTAAAAATACGATGGGAAAGAGGAAGGACAAAGAGGAAGTGGGGAGGAGCCGGGGAGATGGGCACATTCACCAGCCTGGGCGCAAGGGCAGCACCAGCCTGTGGGCTTGGGGTGGGGGTTCATGTCACACCTTGTGAGGTTGTGAGAAGCACAGAGATAAGTGAGAAGGAAACGGGGTGTGTGGTGGTGGTGGTGGTGGTGGTAATTTTATTATTTGTGTGTATTATTATTAGTATTTAAAAATTCATCTCCTGGCCAGGCATGGTGGCTCACATCTATAATCCCAGCACTTTGGGAGGCCAAGGCAGGTGGATCACCAGAGGTCAGGAGATCGAGACCAACCTGGCCAACATGGTGAAACCCCCGTCTCTACTAAAAATACAAAAAAAAATTAGCCGGGCCTGGTGGTGGGCGCCTGTAATCCCAGCTACTTGGGAGGCTGAGGCAGGAGAATCACTTGAACCTGGGAGGTGGAGGTTGCAGTGAGCCGAGATCAGGCCACTGCACTCCAGCCTGGGTAACAGACAGAGACATCGTCTCAAACAAACAAACAAACAAACAAAAAAACATATCCCATGAGCCTACACCGGTGCCTGAAACTCTGAAATGGGGAGGAATCTCCTCTTTTTAACAAATAGAGGAAGGGTCAGTAGGCTCCGTGTGCACCATGTAAGACACAGCAAGCCCGGGGCCATCATCACCCTCATGTGGGTTCAGATGCTTTGACCAGTTGCCACCTATTCGGGACAGGACCCCCGTCAGAAGGGGACAGGGGACTGAGGATTCACGAACACACTTGTCAACCAGAAGGGAGTATGAAAGGAGCTGTAT
Source organism: Homo sapiens (assembly GCF_000001405.40). Classification (NCBI taxonomy): domain Eukaryota; kingdom Metazoa; phylum Chordata; class Mammalia; order Primates; family Hominidae; genus Homo; species Homo sapiens. The sequence goes on from NC_000022.11 coordinate 37,286,002, forward strand.
GCAGTAAAAATACAAGCAACCTGCTCACTATTCCCATGCAATCCCACTCCCCTGGGAACCGTGCCTCAGTTTCCCCAGCTCTGCAAAGTTGGCTTTGCAGGGGTTGGGTGGGGGCAACTGCAGGCATCATTCTGCATCTTGCCTTTATTCTGAAACGTGTAACCCCGTCAGAAACCCAGATTTAGCGTCCGACGGGTGTTTGATGGTTCGTATGGAGAGATCAGCCTTCGGAAGATCAACATCAGGGCTGTAAGCCTCCGAGCCCCAGATGGACCCAGATGTGAATCCCAGCTCTGCCACCCTCCAGCTGTGTCACCTTTGGCAGGACACTTCACGTCTCTGAGTCTCAGGGGCCTCACCTGTAGGATGAGCTTAGAAGTACCTTTCCTTTCGGAGTGGTTGTGGGATTCAATGAGAGTGGATGGGAAGAGCCTGGATCACACAGGGCCTGGCGCACCATGGGTGCTCAGCCACCATGCCTTCCTTAACCAACGGCGTGGCTTGGTTATTGAGCCATGCAGATCCCAGAAACGCTGTGGGGAATGGGAAGGGGTGGGGGCAGGGATGGCTCCTAGATGGAACCCAGGAGGACCCCTGAAAAGGGATCTGAAGTAGGAGATAAGGAGGGGCTGCTGGCAGAGAGGAGAAGGAAGGGCGTTCTGGGTACAAGGAATGGTGGTGCAAAGGCTTTTGGAAGGCTAGAGCTCAGGGGAGTGAATGAAGGGCAGCCAGGGAGGCAGAGCACGGAGCTGGGACGGGGAGGGGCACAGTGTGAGAGGAGCATGGAGGGGATACACCAGCAGGACTGGTGAGATTTGGGGTCTTTGTCCCCAGGACAATGGGATGCCATGGGAAACTGGACCAGAATGGGTAGAAGAGGCAGGGAGGCATCCGAAAGCCCTGAAGTCCCCCTGAGCAAAGCGATAGCGGCTGGGATGACAGTGGAGCCATGGAAGGGGAAAGAAATAGACAGGACTTGGTGATGGAGGAGACCCAAGGGGTGACAGCCAGGTGGGAGTCAGAGTGCCTCCTGGGGAAATGTGGACCATTTCCAGAGCTCAGGAATTCAGGAAGAGGATGGGGAGGAGGGGGCATTCTAGAAGTTCAATTTTGGGCACAATGACAAGAGCGGTGGTGACCAATACATAGGGGATGGTTGGATCTGAAGCTCAGAGAAGGGGCTGGAACAGAGGATGTGTGAATGATTCCCTGGACCCTGAAGGCAGGTGGGAGCCAGGAGCTGATGAAGCCCCATGGGGACCAGGAAGGTCGGCCTAGGAGGAGCTTCAGGAGCCCCATCACTCAATTCTGGCCATCCACACCTTGGAGCATCTGTAGGAATGCTGGAGCCCACCCTGGCTTCTCTCAGACAAGCAGCCAGTCTGGAATCCACTCAGCCTCCTCCAGCAGGTGCGCCCTGGGCAGAAACACAACCCCAAGCCAACAGGAAAACTGTATAAAGCCAACAAACAAAACAAAACAGAATCGGATTGTTCACCTCCAAGGCAACCCAAGGTGATTGGTTTTTTCCCATGGATGAGACCAACGGCCTCCCCGCCAGCTCCTGCCGGAAGAGTTCCGGAGCCAGCTTCCAGCACTGCCTCCCCGGCTGTCCCTGCTCTGCATCTCCACACAGGTGGCCCCTTACACCTTCCATCCCTGCATGTCCCAAGCAGTTTGGGAATCCACCTCTCCTGGGGCAGAGGCGTGGGGGTCAGCAAACAAGGGTGCAGTTCCCAGCACTGCCACTTCCTGTGAATGAGACCTGGGGCGAGTCACTTCGCCTTCCTAAGCCTCAGTGTCTCAAACTGGAAAATACCTACTTCAAAGAGGGTTAAATGACAGCAGTTATACAGAGACTGGCATGGAGTAGGTGTTTGTGCGCTTAACGGGTCATAAGACTCTTGCTTTGTCCCCTGGTATAAGTGTCCCCGCCAACTCCCTCCTGGAAACAGTACCTCTAGACCTGCAGAGACAGAAAGAAACTCCAGAGTGGGCCGGGCACAGTGGCTCACACCTGTAATCCCAGGACTTTGGGAGGCCAAGGCAGGTGGATCACCTGAGGTCAGGAGTTCGAGACCAGCCTGGCCAACATAGTGAAACCCCCGTCTCTATTAAAAATACAGAAATTGGCCCAGTGCGGTGGCTCACGCCTGTAATCTCAGCACTTTGGGAGGCCAAAGTGGGCAGATTGTGAGGTCAAGAGATCAAGACCATCCTGGCCAACATGGTGAAACCCATCTCTACTAAAAATACAGAGATTGGCTGGGCATGGTGGCTCATGTCTGTGGTCCCAGCTGCTCAGGAGGCTGAGACAGGAGAGTCCCTTGAGCCCGGGAGGCAGAGGTTGCAGTGAGCAAAGGTCGTGCCACTGCACTCCAGCCTGGTGACAGAGTGAGACTCTGTCTCAAAAAAATAAATACATAAATAAAAAATTAGCCGGGCATGGTGGTGCATGCCTGTGATCCCAGCTACTGGGGAGGCTGAGGCAGGAGAATCGCTTGAACCTGGGAGGCAGAGGTTGCAGTGAGCCAAGATCATGTCACTGCACTCCAACCTGGGTGACAGAGCAAGACTGTCTCAAAAAAAAAAAAAGGAAACTCCAGAGTGGGTCACTAGGAGAATGGCAGGTGGGGCCACTCCCACTCCTACCCCTCAGCTCGTAGACCCTTGTGGTCCACCTGCTGGAGACAGAGCACCACACAGTGGTGGTAGATTTAGGGCATATGGTGCCTCCTGGAGGATGGCGCCCCATCCAAGTGGATATCACCTCCAGGCTGACACCTCAGCTGTACCTTCTCAAGACCGCCCCATGGCTCCATTCCATCCGGCCAGCACCTTCCGATGAAATGCTAGAGAGGATCGGTGGATCTCATGGCCACGTGCTCACTTCAGACCACCTTTGCTGTAGAGAGCATCCCTTGGTCTTCTGTGATGTTATGTGGTGTGCTGTGTTGGTGGGTCAAACACCCTAAGCCTCTGGATAGTGGTGCTGGCTGAGGCTCTGTGGGCAGGAAAGGCAAACACATTTCCAACACGTGTCGACTCCAGACAAGATGGATTGTTGACTTTTGCAGAATAGAAGGGGTTTCATGGAATCAGTTTGCCCCCTGGTCTTCTGGAGAAAAGATGGGCTCAGCATGCGTCCCTGTTGCTGGCAGAGTGGACATTCCGCTCCCACGGGGTCATCCACCTGCCTCTTCTCCTGACATCTGTGTTTCTGATCTTCCCATCTTCCTTCTTTCTTGCCTCTGACCAAGAAGTCAAGCCATTCACCACTGCCCATGATGCATGGATATTCTGACTTCAAGAAGTCACTTCTCTTTCCACAGGAAGTGGATGGCCAGGTGCCCTGCCTGAAGCCCTGCCCCCTGGGAGGACTTGCCCTCATCACTGTCTTTCCAGGACACCTTTGAGCAGGACTGTAGTTCAGTAGCTGCCTGGTTTTCACTTGCGCCCAAACTCTGAGCCAACTCATTCTGCAACCAGCCTTGGGCATTTTCCTCTGTTGTTAGAAAGTCATAAGGGACCCACCCATGTGGTCACGGTGTAAGCAGAGGGATAGACCCTGGTCCACCAGCAGCGGTGACATGAGGATCTGGGCCACCTATCCCTGGAGCCTACTGGAGCCCTCTGGCTCTGCTCACACCTGCTCCTGGACGTACCACTCACAAAGGGTTACTATTGGGCTCGCTTGACCTTCTGACTTAGTGGGACAGATGGAGCCATCTGAGCTACTTAGTTACATGATGTTCCGTGGGCTGGCACTCTATCTCTACCAGGACCCGGTGCCATTCCAGGAACTGTTTTCTGCATAGTATATAATTCTCTGCTAGAAGGAAGCAGCTGGAAGGAGCAGGCCATCCTCCCGACCGGGGAAGTGCTTGGGTATGTGATGAGGGCCATTGCTCCTGCATCCGTTAGGTCTCAAGAGTGGCACCCACACCTGCCATTCCCCTCAGGATATAGTTTTTTATTTAGTCTCTTCGCTGTGGGGATGATGGGTCAGCTTCATAAATTTCCAAATAGCTATTCCCACTACAATGATCCTGACCCCATGGGCCAAGGTACCAATATGGGCTCAAGTACCAGCGATGTCCATTCCAATTCTACATCTGTAGGCCAGGAAAGTGGCCATGAATCAAGCAGACCCCTAGTGAGCTGGACCTGGAAGGACTTCATTTACCACCTGGTCTCTATGTACCCCCACTCAAATGTGGCCCTGAAGACACTTCAGTCTTGAGCGCTGATGTCAACTTGGATCCTGTGTCCAACAATCCTCAGAATGTTTGGATATTGCTCTTTCCCCAGTGTACAGTTGTTGGAGTGAATGGCCACAGGTGTTTTAATGTGGAACCAGGGAGTCATTGCCATATATACTTGCCACAATGTTGCAGGACTCTTCCCTTGGAACCCAGCCTCTCCTTCAGTCCCGACGTTCTGTATCTGAAAACTGGGGTAGGTCCTGAAACCAGGCAAGGGGTCTTGGGTTTTTTTGTTTGTTTTGTTTTGTTTTGTTTTGGAGACAGAGTCTCACTCTGTTGCCCAGGCTGGAGTGCAGTGGCATGATCTGGGCTCCCTGCAAGCTCCGCCTCCCAGGTTCACGCCATTCTCCTGCCTCAGCCTCCTCCGGTGTACCTGGGACTACAGGTGCCCACCACCATGCCTGGCTAATTTTTTGTATTTTTAGTAGAGATGGGGTTTCACTGTGTTATCCAGGATGGTCTCGATCTCCTGACCTCGTGACCCGCCCGCCTCGGCCTCCCAAAGTGCTGGGATTAGAGGCGTGAGCCACCTTGCCTGACCGGGACTTGGCTTTTTATTGCAGTGGCTGCCCTTGGTCAGGGGAACTCCTGGGCGTGGCACCTCCCTTTGGCTGAGGCTAGTGTCTGGGGAGGGATTCAGCTGTGAGCCATCAGCAGGCTTTCCTCCCAGCAGCTGGGGGGATGGTGCCTTGGTCCTGAAGAGAAGAGCCAGATGCACACAGCACCCATTGCACACATGTGGGACTCAGCATATGTTGGATTCTTGCTGGGTGTTTGACAAAGTGTAGCTCTTTCCTTCCTGACAGCTGCCCTGTGAGGCAAGGGTTATGGTTCACATTTCACAGATGAGGATGCTGTATTAGGTATATCTCAGATTTAGCTGCTTAAAGAGACTCAGAATAACAGCAACCGAAACATTCTCAAAACTGATTTATTTCTTATTGAAAAGTCCAAATGGATAGGTGGGCCAGGTGAACATGATGAGTCTTCTCCACACCGCTGCCTGGGGACCTGGGCTCCATCTAGCCTGGTGCCCTGCATCTCCGCATGGGGCTTTAATCTCAACAGCCACAATGCCTGCTTAATCATGAGAAGGAGAAGTAGGGAAAGGGAGCGCTCAACATTCCCTCTGTGTTCTTTTGGAGGAAATGATGTCTATCCTTGTAAAACCTTTAAGAAATGCGGCCAGGCACTTCCCGACGCTGGAACTTGAAGGTCAGCGAGGATTTGGGCAGGCAGACAGGAGAAGGCATCCCAGAGTACAGGAGCGGCCTGGGCAAACATGGGGAAGTGGGACTGAGTCCTGGATGGCTCTGGAGCAGGAAGGAGCTGGCAGGCTGGACTGGCAGGCTCTTTTTGGGAATGGCAGGGAATAAGTCTGGCTGCCAAGGCTGGAGAGGTTGTGGAGGCCCCAGGCCCAGGATGAAGACTTTCTCTCTGAGTAATAGGGAGGCCATATTACTCAGAGAAGGAGAGTGTTGTGGATGAAACAGAAGCCACCATGAAGCATGAAGATAGGACAGCTGACCTAGTTGTGGGCATCATCACAGCACCTTGCATAGAATGCCGCACACACAAATCTTATTTCATTTAATTCATTTCCAAGTGGAGATGAAAGAGCACAGGCTTTGGAGTCAGCCCAATTCAAGGTCCCATCCTGGCTCAGTGACCTTTTCCCTGTGGGTTGAGTCACCTCACCTCTCTGAGCCCCAGTATCCAGGGGCAGGGACTATAAAATATCCCCCAAATCCAGCCTCCCCATTTTACACAGTAAGGACATCAGGACCACCCTGCTACAGGCTCATTTCCCAGCCTCCCTTGCAGCTAGGTGTGGCCACGTGACTACATTCTGGCCAATGGGATGTGAGGAAAATGGTATACCACTTCTTGGTTGTTCAAATAAATAAGTGAATAAATAATGAGCCCATGAGCCAGTGGAGGAGGAGATTCAAGTTCCGGGGAAGGAATGCGTGCCTTCAGCGAGTGTTTAACTGAGTGCTTATGACATGTCAGACTCTTTCTAGGTGCTGGGGACACAGTAGTGAGCAAAAGAGTAGAACAACTGAACTCTCATGGAGCCGAGAGTCTAGCGGGAGGGACAGAAAAGATGCAAGGAAACAGGATCCTTTTGGGGGTGTCTATCCAGGGGGGTGGGAGAAACAGGAAGCAGGGCAGGAGAGGAGGGAGCAGGGGCTGCTTTAGACAGGGCAGTCAGGGGAGGCTTCCTGGAGGAGGTGGGCCTCTGTGAATAGGGCAAGTCCTGGGTTTCCGGAGGGAAGGGGGCCCTGCAGAAGTGAGGGCAAGTGGGTGTGGCTGGAGCCAAGTGATGGGGAAGGCCGGTTGTCTCTCTGTAGAGCCCGCGGAGCTGAGCAGCGGGGAGACGGAAGAGTTACAGAGGATCAAGTGGCACCGAAAGCAGCTCCTGGAGGACATCCAGGTGAGTGCACACTCGTGTCCACACACGTGTCCATGCCCACACTCCTGCACGCTTGTACGCACCCCACCAGCTCCTGACCCAGCCTGGTCAACAGACAGTGTGGCCAACTCTGGCTCATATCAGCCTCGGCCCCAGCCCCAGGAGCAGGGAGAACAACAAGACTGCAGACACCCCGAGACCCAGGGAGAACTGGGAGAGCCGGGGAGGGAGGCAGCGATCCAATTAGGCGCCCACCGTGTGCCGATCCTCATCCTGGCCTTTACTTGCTTTGTCACAGGGCAGGCTCTGACCCCTGTGGTGAAGCTTCAGCCAGGTCTCACCCCTGCAGAGTGTAGACCACCTGGTCAAGATAACTCCCAGTATGTGCCCTGCACTTACCACTTCACCAATCAGACTCAGACGTCAGCTCATCTGGGTCAGCAGCTTCTGAGACAGGCTGGGTTCTGTTCCTGGAACGTGCCTTGCTCAGCACTGCCCCTGGGCCTTTGCACTCGCAGTCCCCTCTGCCTGGGCTGCAGTGGCTGTGCCCACCCCCACTCCCATGCACATAAACTTAGGATTTCAGTGAGGAAATGAAGGCACAAAATTATTCACTCAGCTGCTGTTTCATTGAGCACCTACTATATGCCAGGATTTCTCTACCTTGCTCTGATGGTGTTCTGCATAGTCATTCCAATTACCCTATGACCACCCATGATCCCAGCCCCACCAGACTGTGCCCTCCATGAACACAGAGCCGAGGTCTGTCTTGCCCACCACTGCATCCCCAGCCCGCTGGGTGCAGCATTAATAGGTGCTCAGTTAATACTTGCAAATGAATCCCCATTGTATTTGTGGGGCAACCACTCAGTGGCTCTGCCAAGATGGCATGAACAGGAGCTGACACGGCTCAGACACAGGCTCCCAAGTCCCATGCTGGCCCTGAGTCTCAGGACAAGTCCCTGGAACCAGCCCCTCACCAGCACCCTGCAGATCCTGGGGAGAAAGGGGCTGGGTGCCTAATGGGGGTGCCGGCCAGAGGCTCATGCTGGTGTCCTTCAGGGGGTGCTGGTGGTTGGCAGGGGGAGGTGTTAGGGGGTCCCCTCTGCCACTGGGTGCCTCCTGCAGGGTCAAGATGAAATGGGCTTGGGGTCGAGTTGGGGGAAGCACAGGTTTGGAGTCAGACTGCGGGCGTGTCGTGTCATCTCTCTACGCCTCAGTGTCCTCTTCTGTAAAGTCCAGGGGAATTGCAAAGTCCCTGGAAAGAGGGCCTAGGCTGCCTGTGCGTGGTGTCCCCGTAGTACCTGGCAGGCACATAGCGGGCACTTAGTCAAGGGTGAGCAACATAGTAAATGGAGGAAAGCCAGAGAGAAGCTGAGGAAGCAGTAGGGAGCCATGGGAGGGGTTTGAGCAGGGGAAGGGCAGGCTCCATGCAGTGCTCCAGAAAGACACCAGCCGGGAGAGGCAGGCAGGGTGGAGGCGGGCAGGGTGGAGGTGGGCTGGGGGAGGTGGGCAGGGTGGAGGCGGGCGGGGGGTGCAGGCAGGGTGGAGGTGGGCAGGGTGGAGGCGGGCAGGGTGGAGGTGGGCTGGGGGAGGTGGGCAGTGGGGAGGCCGGCTTGTCGGGTAGGCTCGGCTAGAGTGCAGGAGACTTCATGGCTGCAGAGAGGAGAGATGGGAAGGTTGGAAAAAGGATGGGCAAGGGATGGGGGCTTGGGGAATCCCACTCCCCAAGACAAGTGGAGGCATGGGTGCAGACAGAGGTGATAGTTTAGCATGCGACTTAGAAATTATGAGACATCCAGGGAGGGGACCTGTCCATGGAGGGTCCCTCAGACTGGGGACTCAGGACAGAGGTCAGGGAGAGGGGCCAGGTTTGAGAGTCGTGCCCAGGGGTAGGAGTGGTCCTTGTGGTCTCAAACCCCCGGGGTTCTGGCCTCCACCCCTGACTCTCCCTGTCCTGCCCCTGCCACCCCACAGAAGCTGAAGGATGAGATTGCAGATGTGTTTGCCCAAATCGACTGCTTCGAGAGTGCGGAGGAGAGGTGAGGGGCTTGGGTGGGGACCCCCAGAAACTGCCATGGTTGCTTCCCAAGGATGTCATACACCTTGAATGAGCAGGGGCCACTCCCAGCCCCCTGGACCTGGTGAAATCAGGGATTGGCCAGGGAGAAGGAGGCAGCAACGAGACCGGAACAGGGTGGCCCCGGCCCCATCCCGGGTCTGGTCCCTGCTCCCAGGCTGACCCTCTCTTGAGAGACACTGCGTCCTCCCCTCCCCCAACCCAAAGTCTCTCCTGACCCACTGTGGTCCAGCCCTGACCGATCACTGGCCACATCCACCCTGGGATGGGCGGGGAGAAGGGAAGCTCAGCCCCAAGGGCAAGGACAAGGAAGCCCAGGGCCCCAGGAGGACAGGAGCCTGGCCCTACCCCACCCCACTCACCACTAACCCCGGGCCAGCCACGCCCACCGCCTCTGTGGAAAACTCCCACTATTTTGTGATCTGGGACAGATCCTGTCCCTCTCTGGGTCTCAGTTTCCCCATCTGTGCAACAAGAAGGTTGGTTGCTACACAGTCTCCTAAGGCCCCAGTGCACTGACTCTGACACACGATGTCCTGGCAATTTCCCATCCTGCGCCCGCCACTCCTTAGGTCTCCACCTGTCCAGCCTCCTCCCCTCCCCCACCACACACATGCACACACACACACGCATGCACACACACACAAGCATGCACACACACACAAGCATGCACACACACACAAGCATGCACACACACGAGTGGCCGTTTCTCCAGCTCCCCTGTTCCAGCCACAACAATGACAACATAACACACCTACGCCTCACTGTTTTAGGTGCTTTAACCTCTCAACAATGCTGGGAGGCAGGTGGTGGTATCACCTCCATTTTATAGATGAGGAACCTGAGGCCCAGAGAGAGGAAGTGACTCGCCCAAAGCAGCCCGGCTCAGATTCGCATCCAGGAGCCTGGCTCCAGCACCTGCGTGCTCAGCCCTCGCCCCCTCCCCCGGTTTCTTGCACAGGGCCCCTCCACCTTCTCCCACACGGCAGCTCCGGGTTCCTGCAAGCTGCTAAATGCCCGTGCTGGGCCCATCAGAGAAGTCAGCTGCAGAGCTCTGGGAGGAGCCAGGCCTTGCACTGCTCTCTCCCGCCCAGGTGGTTCCCATGCAGGACCCGGAGGCCACACTTGGAGGGCCCTAGAGGGGTATGGGCTCCTGCTGAGGCAAGGGTCCTTGGGGAGTGGAGAGGGTAATTCAGGGTCCTGGGGCAGCCCAAGCTGACGTCCTCATGTCCACAGCCGGATGGCCCAGAAGGAGAAGGAGCTGTGTATTGGGCGCAAGAAGTTCAACATGGACCCCGCCAAGGTAGGTGGCTGTGGAGGGCCCGGGCCACAGGGTGTGGGGGCTGCATGGGAGCACCTGCCTGGTGTCCTCTCGCTCCCCTCGGCTGACACGACCCCTTTCCAGAGGAGGAAGCTGTGCCCAGCAGAGCTGAGCATCTTGTCCAGTGCCCCATGGCCAGCTGTGGCTGGGCGCCCTGTCTACTCCCAGGCATACACGCCTTGGGGCAGGAGGAGCCAGGAGCATGGAGGAGGCCACGGTGTCCATGCACTTGGCCTAGTCCCTTCCCCACTCTGGGCCTCCATTTCCTTCTCCATGAATGTGGCTTGGGACAGTGGAGCTCTTGGATCTGGGGCTTAGGCTCCAGAAGCATCTTCCAGCCCTGGGCTCAGGGAGGGCCAGTCCTGCGGTCCCACCACCCACCCCTCTGCTAGTAGGAGCAGCAGCTCAGGGCTGGGTTACCTCGATCCCCCACACCACTCCCAAGCCCCTGGCCTCACCCCACCAGGTGGCAGCTGGGCTTCCATCCTGAAAGGACGGAGACAGAAGGAAACCGCAGGCAGACACACCGAGGTGGGGTCAGGTGGCCAGCAGAGAGCACCAAGCTGGGGTCCCTGGAAATTTACCGCTCTGGCTTAGAAGGCTCCCTGTCCCCATCACAGGCCCAAAGTGTTATAACCATTCACCTCTCATGGCTACAGACCCTTGGACTCCTGCTCCTACCCACAGAGACCCCCGCAGGCTCACACTCTCACCCCACCCAGCACCCAGGGGTGTCCTCTGCATCCTCTGCCTGTCACTGGGCCCTCATGGCCTGTGCCCAACTTCCAGCAGTGGAACACAGAGGAATCTTCACGGAGAGCCAGAGACCAACCCCTCCAACTCCTAAAACTAGGATGACAAACTCTGAGTGCCTTGGTGGTGAGGAGAGGTGCTTGTGATATTGTCAAATCCGAAAAACAGATTTAAATGTGACAGGCATGGTCTGAGCCCATTTTCACATAGAAAGGGAAGGAAGGTCACCACGATGGAAGCTGTCTGCCTCCGAGCGGTAGGGCCCGGGCAATTTCCTCCCCTTTGGATTGAGCTGGTTTTTCTAACTTTTATACAATAGACATAGATTACTTGTGTGAAAGAATGAAACGCTATTTTTAAATAATATGAGTTTTAGGGGAACAAAAGAAATGGCTGAATCATTGAATCTCAGAATCACAAATTCCTAGAGTCACTGAAGCATATAATCAAAGAATGTCAGACTGAGGGGGACCCTGGGGAGTACCTGGCATGAACCTGGTTCATGGCAGGAAAGCTGACTTTCTTTGCATGCCTCCAGTGATGGGGAACTCATCACCTCCCAAAGGCAGCTCCTATGAAAGAGGGGTCAAAACTTCCCAGAACAGACTGTGCCAACACCAGAATGCCAGGCTCCAGGATTCTGGCCATGGAAGCTCCTTCCTCCCTTCCCCCTCCCAGGCCTGCTTCCATGCAGCAGCTGCTCACGGCTTCTGTGTACCCCCTCCAGGGTATCCAGTATTTCATTGAGCACAAGCTGCTGACCCCTGACGTCCAGGACATTGCACGGTTCCTGTATAAAGGCGAGGGCCTCAACAAGACAGCCATTGGTACCTACCTGGGGGAGAGGTAAGAACGAGTGGAGCCTTAGCGAGGCAGGAAATGAAGGTGTGCAGGTGTGTACAGGTGTGTGGATGTGCAGGTGAGAGGATGAATTATGTTAGCAAAGTCATCACTCCTAGTGCTTGAGGGGCTCACGGATCATCCCCTCCAGATTCTGAGTCAAAGCCTGACTGCCTTCATTCATTTAGTCATTTATTCAACAAATAAATGTTGCTCAGGGTCTACTGTGTTCCAGGCACCATCCTAAGCCCTGGGTGTACACCAGTGAATAAGACAGACAAAACTCTTGTCCTCAGGAAGTCCATGCTAGTGGGAGAGACAGGTCTCAATAGTTGTAAAATATGTTAGAGAATGATAAGCTCTGTGGAATACAAATCGAGCAGGGAAGGGAAGTCAGAAATGCTGGGGACCGGCCAGGCTCGGGGCTCATGCCTGTAATCCCAGCACTTTGGGAGGCCGAGGCAGGCAGATCGCGAGGTCAGGAGTTCCAGATCAGCCTAGCCAACGTGGTGAAACCCCGTCTCTACTAAAAATACAAAAATTAGCCGGATGTGGTGGCAGGTGCCTGTAGTCCCAGTTACTCAGGAGGCTGAAGCAGGGGAATCGCTTGAGCCTGGGAGTCGGAGGTTGTAGTGAGCCAAGATCACGCCATTGCACTCCAGCCTGGGCAACAGATTGAGAACGAGACTCCGTCTCAAAAAAAAAAAGAAAAGAAAAGAAAACAAAGAAAGAAAGACATGCTGGGGACCATAGGTTGGGGGCTGTGATTTAGAATAGCGTGGACAGGAAGGGTCTCATGGAGAAGGTGACATTTGACCAAAACGTAAAAGAGGTGAGGGCATGAGCAGTACAGACATCTGGGGGAGGAGCGGTCCAGGAGTAGCAAGTAAAAAGGCCCTGGGGTCAGAAACAGGCTCAAGAATCTAGACTGGACGGGAGGAGAGAGGAAGGATATTGTGGGCGAGGAGGTGGGGATCTGTGGGAGCGCTCTGGGCAAAGGACTGGTCTGAGGGGTGGGCGAGTGGATAGGGGTGAAGCTGGACCAGAGAGTCAACAGCCCTCTCCCCAGCTCCCAAGGACACCCCTCCCTCCCGCGGTGAGCAGGGGATGCAGACGGTGAGAAGGGCACCTTCCTGCTTCAGGAGCTGGGGAGAGGGAGGAGATGGGGGAGGTCAGCTTCTCTCCCTTGTACAGATGAGGAAGCTGGGGCTGGGAAGGTCAAGTGGCTTCCGCGAGGTCACCAGGTGGGAAGTTACAGGAAATGAGGAAGGCCTGGACTGAGGGCAAGGCCGCTCCAAAGCCAGGGCTCCCCTCCCAGGCCAGACCAGCGCTGGTGAGCCGTGAAGGTGTGTGTTCCTGCATGGGAGGACAAGGGTGTGCCCTCAGGGTGTGATATGGGTGGGACAGATGTGAACACACCAGATGGCAGCTGGACCCCAGAAGGACAGATGTCTCTGTCCTCTCCCTCCCCCACCTCAACCCCCTCCAGGAGGTGGGTGCCAGCAAGTATCCAAGTGTGTCCCACCCTCCCTTCCGCCTCCTCCCCCAGGGATCCCATCAACCTGCAGGTCCTCCAGGCCTTCGTGGACTGCCACGAGTTCGCCAACCTCAACCTCGTCCAGGCCCTCAGGTGAGTAGTCCTGGGGCAGGGTCCCGGCCCTCAAGGGTGGCACAGCCCCAGTGGCTGGGGGTGTCGCGATCCACATAGCTGACAGCACAAACAAAGGGTTGGGAGCAAAGAAGAGGAGGCAAGGAACAAGAATGACTTCATGATAGTACTGCCTCACAGAGCTGAGCTGGACCGCCTGGGAAAGGGCCTAGTTCCTTGCAAATAGCAAATACTGCCTTCTTAGTTAGAATTCTATCATGCCCATATTTAATCATTCTAATCATTATTACTTTATTATGGTCATTCTCCTACTTTTTGGATTAGTGCATGTTTTATTTATTTTATAAGACTGCTTAGCATGTATTCCAATTATTATGACTTATTAGCTTCTAATTAGGGTACTGTTTTTGGTACTCATTTTTACAACTGCAGAGGCAGTCCAATTATCAGTTTGAAGCACAAACTCTGGAGCCAGACTATACAGTTCAAATCCCAGCTCTGCTGCTCACCCCCGTGTGACCTTAAGCAAGCCATACACATGCACAAAATACAAAAATTAGCCGGGCGTGGTGGCGGGCGCCTGTAATCCCAGCTACTCGGGAGGCTGAGGCAGGAGAATCACCTGGACCTGGGAGGTGGAGGTTGTAGTGAGACAAGATCACACCACTGCACTCCAGCCTGGGCAACAGAGTGAGGCTCTGTCTCACAAAAAAATAAATAAACCTTCCTGTGCCCCAGTTTCCTCATCCGTAGAATGGGGATAATAATAGTACCAACTTCACAGGGTTGTGAAGACTAAATGGGAAAGTGTTTAAAACTGGTCCACAGTGAGTGCTTAGTAAGTCTTGATGCTGCTTGAAAACTCAGATTCCGAGAAGGAGCATCTGATCTGGGCTTTGGAGGGTGAGTAGGAGTTCACAATACAGAGAAGGAAGAAGCCACCACCATCCAGTGTTCTCTAACTCCCAGCTCTTTAAGGGAGAGGGGTAGGTGACTTGGGAGTCTCCCATATTCATTCTTTCATTCATTCATTCACATATTCATTCATTCATTCACTTATTTACTGAGCCTTTGCTAGGTGCCCAGGACTGTGTGAAGCCCAGGAGGAGAAGTGAGAGATACAGGCCCAGTTCTCACCTTCAGAGAACTTAGCTTGAAGCTGTCGAAACCACCAACTTCCAGAGCTAGAGGGAAGTCGAGGTTCCAAGAAAGGGAGCCCTAGCAAGGCAAAACCCCTGCCCCACCTCTTCCCCAACTAGGTCCCACAGCCAGATCTCAGGGCCCAAAGGCCAGGTGCGGGGAGCCACAGACCCCGGGGCAGGCAGAGGCCGTCCCCCTTCCCAGCTGAGGCAGACTGGGCTGCAGTCAGTGCTGGGATTCAGACCTGCAGAGCGGGGCGTGTGCTTAGTTCCGTATTCTGCAAGAAAAGGCATTTCTTGGCTACCTCCCGCGTGCTTGGGGCTCCCTGGTGCCCATCCCACTTCCCCGTCAGCCCAGATGACAGTTGCAGATTCCCCCATTTACAGGATACAGAGACTAAACCTGGGAGAGGCAGGGCAGCTTGTCTGGGGCCCGCGAGGGCCCACCCACTCCACTGCCCGTGGCCCCGTTTCTCCCCCAGGCAGTTCCTGTGGAGCTTCCGGCTGCCGGGCGAGGCCCAGAAGATAGACCGGATGATGGAGGCCTTTGCCACTCGATACTGCCTCTGCAACCCAGGCGTCTTCCAGTCCACAGGTGCCAGGAGGGGAGTGGGACCCAGGGCTCCGGGACCCCTTCAGCATTGCCAGGCATAGATTTCACAGACCCCCTCAGGTTTCCCCCAGGTACCCAGACCCTGGCAGCCCAGACCCCTTCATGAGCCCTCACTGAGCACTGACTTCATTGCTGCTGGGTGCTTGTCTGACAGAGCTGCCTTGAGACACAGTTCTTAGGAGAGCAGTCAGGAGACGATGGCACAGGATGCTAAGGCTAAGGCAGCAGCACCCCTTTCTGAGGGCAGGAGTAAGGGAATCAGCATGTCCAAGATGGCTTCTCAGAGGCGGTGAGGTCTGAATGGGGTTTTGAAGGATGAGTAGGAGTTTTCCAGGAGGTTAAGGGGAGAAAGGGCCTTTTTGGCAGGAGTTTCAGTTGGAACAAAGGCCCAGAAACATGAAACAGCCTGGGCAGGGTGTAGGGGGCAAAAGGGGCATAGAAGGAGATACATAAAGGTCAGTCCTCCATAGCCCTCTCTCCCAGGGCTAACCCAATGCCCATGTGAAGACATCCAGAGGACAGGGTGGGCGAGGGACCATCCTGGCCTCTTCTCTGGATCTAGTTGTCATAACAACAATAACCAACCCTGTATATTGAGTAATCCCTATGCGCTGAGTGCTTTACACAGGCAAAGCCACTCAATCCTTTTTTTTTTTTTTTTTTTTTTTTTTTGAGAGAGAAAGAAAGTCTGTCTCTGTCACCCAGGCTGGAGTGCAATGGCGTGATCTCAGCTCACTGCAACCTCCGCCTCCCAGGTTCATGCAATTCTCCTGCCTCAGCCTCCCAAGTAGCTGGGATTACAGGCACCCACCACCATGCCTGGCTAATTTTTTGTATTTTTAGTAGAGACGGGGTTTCACCATGTTGGACAGGCTGGTCTCGAACTCCTGACCTCAGGTGATCCGCCCGCCTCGACCTCCCACAGTGCTGAGATTACAGGCGTGAGCCACCATGCCAAGCCAAAGTTACTCAATCCATACATCAACCGTTTGAGGTCAGTAGTCTTCTTATCCCTCCCTCACGCATGGAATATAGCTTCAGAGAGATAAAATGACTTGTCTGCGAGCACGCCGCCTCCTGGCTGTGTCCATGGACAAACCTTCCAGAACATTTGCCCTACTTTGTGGTTAGATCTTAATTTAGTGTTTGTTTGCTTGTTTATTATCTGTCACAAGTCTAAATGTCCTGCAAGGGCAGGGACCCTGTCAGACCCATCATCAGTGACTCCCAGGCCCACAGCACAGAGTATGTACTCAATAAATAGTTGTAGGTAGGAAAGAAGGCATCTTAAAGCACCAGATTTGAATCACGGTCCAATTACTTCTTAATTTTGTAATGTTGGGCATATAGCTTAACTTCCTGTGCCTCGGTTTCCTCATCTGTAAAATGGGAGTGATAACAAGACCTGCCTCATAGGATGGGCATGGGGATGTGAGAGCTTAGCACAGGGCAAGCACCAACAACGCTCGGTGCCACTGCTATCAGAGATGGAAACATTGATGTTCCAGAACAGGCAGTTACTTCAAAGATTAACCTCTGAATGTCAAGGATGGGGAAGCTGAAGGTCAGAGAGGTCAAGTACTTCCCAAGGTCAACCAGAGAGTTGAAGATGCAGCTGAACTTCCCTGGCTCTGGATCCAGGGCCCAAATACTCGACAAAAGACCTTGCCAGAGTAGCAATTACCTCCCTCCCCAGCCATCAGCCCAGCCCTCCCTCCTGAGTGCTTGAAAGTCTGAATAATGGGAGAGGCGCTGGGGCTCAGGAGGAACGCCAGCAAGATTACAGAGCAGCAGTGGCTCAGCCCTGAACAGTGCCGCTAACAATGAGTGTTCTTCTCCGAGTTCCGAGAGGCAGAGAACAGAGTGGGCAGGGGGCTGGAAGGGCTCTGCGGGGAGGAGGTCCTGAGCCGTGGCTGAGCGAGAAGGAGGATTGAAGCGGAGAGGAGGGAAGGAAGGGCAGGCCTGGCAGGGGATCCAGCAGGAGCGTACGCGCGGAGGTAGGAAGGGGCTCAGAAAAAGAGGCTGAGGTTAGTTTAAGAGGGGGTGGGGACCAGCAAGAGTGGGAAGGGAGAGGAGGCTGGGCCTCAAAGCCCAAGCCAGGAGGACAAGGTGGACCTTCGGGGCCTTGCAATGGCAGTTCTGGGCCCTGGAAGGGGCCGGGACAGAGGCAGGGAGAGTGGCCAGGGCCAGAACTGTGACCGCTGTCCCCTCCGCAGACACCTGCTACGTGTTGTCCTTCTCCATCATCATGCTCAACACCAGCCTCCACAATCCCAACGTCCGGGACAGGCCGCCTTTTGAGCGCTTTGTGTCCATGAACCGCGGCATCAACAATGGTAGCGACCTGCCCGAGGACCAGCTGCGGGTGAGAGAGGCGCAGCCCACCCAGCCTGGCCCCGGGGAATCCAGGAGGGACCTGTCCTTAGATGGATGGCCCGGGAGGGGCTCCTCTGAGATAGACAGCCCCCAGTGGGGACTCTGCTGATATGGCCCACCCAGGCTGTGACTGTCTTGAGAGGCACCGTCACAAAGCGCATTGGTCCTGAAACCCGCCTGCCCAAAAGAGGCCCCCATCTTGAGAAGGATGTCCGAGATAGACCACCCAGGAGGTCCACCCAGATTTAAGCCTTTGGGGGACTCTAGGCAGCCATCTTTCACATCTTCCAAAAAGGGTACCTCACACAGCCCAGGTCTATTTCTTAGAATAGAGATTCTTAGACGCTCAGCATGTCAGGCCTGAAAACCCTCAGACTCTGCTCTAAGCCCTCTGTCCTTTAGAGAGGAGGAAACTGAGGTCTTCCACAAGGCCCTACTTGAGCTGGGCCCTACCAACCTCCGGTCGCTTCCTCAAATAGCCTGCACCCCTGCCACACCATGCCAGGCTCTGCGCCCAGCACAGGGGCCCCAGGGATGAATCAACCACATATGCTGCCCTGACCAAGTTCAGGGTCTGGTGGGAGGACTGTACACATGTGAATCACAAGGCTGCATGATTCATGCGGTGCTGGCTGTGGGGATGGAGCTCTGGAGACGCAGATCTGCTGTCACTGCGGCTGTCATTGCTCTGGGGGCAGGGAAGGGTGCCATCCTGGAAGTCTTCACAGAGGAGGTGACTTCTGAACTGGGCCTTGAAGGTTACATGGGAGTGCTCCCAGAGGAGAAGCCGGGAAAGGACATTTCAAAAAGAAGAAGTGGCCAGAACGGAGGCGTGTCCTGATTGGGAAAGGAGAGGTGTCCAGTGTGGCCGAGGTGTGGTATATATGCACAGTAGTGGGTGACAGGGTGGGGCCAGAGGGTCCAGGGCTTCCAATGACAGCCTCAGGAGTTTGCCTGTTTCCTATGGGCCACAGGGAGCCAGGGGGTATTCATAAGAACAGGAAGGAGAGATTCAGAGCCTGGCTTAGGAAAAATGAATGGACAAGTTCACTTCAAGGACTGAAGATTCCCCAGAGCCCCCTGAGCTTCAATCCCCTCCATGGTCAGAGCCCAGCAGGGAGGGGCAGAGGGGGCGCGAACACCACGGTCCCAGCTCAGCACCGAGTATACCTCCTGCCTCCAAGGCTGGGGTGGAGCCTGGATCTGGAATGATTCTGGTGCCCCTCGGTGTTTGAGAACTGCCTCACCCTTAACCCACCTCTTGCCTGGTCCCAAAAGGAGAAAGTACATCAGAGAGGAGCCACTCCGTAGCATGAGAGCTTGAGAGCTGGTTGGAGCTCAGGTCTACTCCCATCTTCCCCGTTTGCCTGCTAGGTGACCTTGGGCAATGACTCACTGGAGTTGAAGCCACTATCCCCTCTACCAGGAGAGTGGAGATAATAATACTTGCCACAGGGAGTAACTGTTTTAAATGTTACGGGCAGAGCCTGTGCCAGGTATATAATACCTGCCTCCTGCGTGGCTCCCCAGCTAAAGTAGGGCCTGTGGCCTAAGTCACTATTAAAAATAATTAATAATGAAAAAAGCCCCAGCATTTAGTAAAATGCCTGAAACATTTTAAACAGCATTTGAGCATTGGTGACTCATTTCATTTGGGGTCCTCGTGGTGCTATGCGGGCACACCTTGTCTGGCAGGGAATGAGTTAATTACCTCCCAGCACTGGTCCTGCCGCTCTCCCAGGTGCCACATTATTGCCTCTAGCTCCCAGTGAGCCCTCTTCAGCATCTCCCTCCTTAGCTGTTTTTCCCAATTCGAGCCTTTTGTTAATAACAATGCACTGCATTTGTATGGAACTTGTAAGTTTCTTCTCACCAGGCTTTGGGGTCTATTATCTCAATTTAGCTTCAAAATCTGCCCGGGAGGTTTAGGAAGCCCTTATTATCCTCTTTGGCAACCCAGAGAGGCAGACACAGACTAAGGGAAAGAACAGAGCGCTGGACTCAGAACCACCTCCAGTCCCGGCTACCCCACTTTCTGGTTGTGTGACTTTAGGAAAGTGGCTTGACCTCTCTGAGCCCCAGTTCATAGGATTAGTGCAGAAGTGTAAGGTATTCAGCCAAGTGCCTGGTGTAGTTGGAGTGGCTAATCAATCCTGAAGCTTCCCAGGTCAAAAAGAAACACACAGGCAGCTGCGTGGATGTGGGGATCCTCTTGCCTTCTGTCTGGGCCTCACTTTCCCCATATGTAAAGCAAGGATTCAGCTTTAAGCACCTTCAGATAGTCAAAGGTCAGCACTTTGCAGAAGGATTCTCCAGTTTGGGCCCATTAAGTGAGGAGGACATGTAATGCTTTTAAGTGGCCCAATTTGCAAAATTAAGTCTACACAGGTGTGACCCAAAGAGAGGTCACCTCAAGGGTACACAGACCATGAGGATGCGCAGCTGGGAAAGGCTGTGGAGAGGTGCACAGTGGTAGTCAGGGGACAGGAGGGTTGAGCCAACCTTGCTCTGGCCATCCAGATGGGGCAGGGGCAGAGTCCCCAAGAAGCTCAGGGTGAAGGCACAGTGAGTTCAGACTCACAGGGATGGGAGGTCAAATCCCAGCTCTGCCCTTATGTCTGTGTGACCTTGGACATGAGCCTCAGCTTCCTCATCTGCAAAGTGGGCTGATGATGCTGGCTTCATATTGTTTTCTGAGAAGCTGTCAGGCGCCTGGCACTTGGCAGGCCTTGAGAAAAGCTAGGAGAGGAACCACCCACCCTGAGGGCTGTGGGAGGGGGAGCTAGGGTGGAAGAGGCACAGGAGATAAGGGGACAAAGAACTCCACTCTCCGGTGTTACAGTTGGAGAAACTGAGGCCCAGGCAGAGTAACAGTCTCCCAGTTCCAGGCATCTTCTGCCATAGGCAGCCCTGCACCTCCTGGGTCCTTGCCCAGGCCTCTCGGTCAGAATGGACTGTGGATTGGACACAGTACTAAGTACTTTACGTTATTAAGTCATCCCGTCCCCAGTTTACAGCAGAGGACACTGAGCTCCATGAGAGGTAGCTGGCCAGAGGTCTCATAGTTTATGAGGAGTCCTGATTCAAACCCATGACTGACTTCAGCGCCTATCCCTCTGCAGAGGCCAGAAGCCAAGATTTGGGGATGGAGGACTTGGCTGTGCTTTCCAGCTACCAGTTACTTCCTAGCTAGGGGAATCTCAATTCATGTCACTGAAAAGATCAGAGATCGATCTGCCTTCAGAAATGCTGGCTTCAGGTTCAGCTAGATCCAGGTGCCCAGTGACATCACGGCCTGATCCAGTTGCCCCATCTCTCAGCAACCGCCTCCTCTGTGTTAATTTATCTCTTAAACCAGCTCTGCCCAGGTGTGGCAGAGATGGCCCGGCCTTCCCGTGCCCTCACAGTCCTCCTCCTCAGCTGTTTCAGCTAAAGTCCCAGGATTAATGCTTATTGGCTGGCTTGGGCCTGAACTGAACTCCCTGAACTGAGGCTAGCAGGATGAAATGCTCTAATCAGCCAGATGTGAGTCATTCACCCCCTCCTGGAGCCTGGGGCTGGGGACCTGTGGGTGTCAACCCTGCCAAGTGACCTGGACAGAACACAGAGGAGCAGAAACTCCCCAGAGGGAAACTGAGGAGGTGGGGGTGGAGGGACACAGAGCCAGCAGGGCCACCGGAAGGAGGCCCTTGCATTTCTGCACATCCACCCAGCCAGGAGGAGACAGCTAGGCCCAGGGGTTGCGGCAGTGCGTGCAAGGCGTTTTCTTGCAGGAGAGGCTGGTGTTTACAGGGGACAGGAAATGTGGGTGAACTCAGCCGTTTTCTTTGCGGGGGCAGAATGTACAGGCTGATACAGTGACCGCAGAAGCTGCTGGGTCCCCCTGTGGGTTTTGTGGCAGTGAAGACCCCCGTCTGCCCCCCTGCACAGCTCCTTGGGCTTCCAAATATTTGTCTGTGCTGACAGCTTTGTTGATGGGGCCTTCCTGTTCCAGGCGCTTGTTCAACCAGCCAGTGCCACCTGGGAATTCCCGGGGATGCACGTAGGGGCTTCCCAGAGAGAAACTGGTGCCTGCTCTTCCCCACCCCCATAGCCCCACAGCCAGATTGAGCCCAGGGAAGCCACTCCCAGCCCACCCCTGACTCTGGACCCCTGAGCTCTGAGGTCAGAAAGGACCTTAAAGAACCAGCAAGCTCCATTTCTAAAACTTTGAGAGAGTCAAATGATACTTGTGAGAATTTTCACTTAAAATCTCGAAGAAAGCATCTGAACAGAAACATCTGAGCAACAGCACACACAAACACAGCGAAAGGAAATGATTTCATCCTCTGAGATAACACTGCGCTTGCTTTGAATAAGCAGAAATGGACAGTTTAGAATAGTTCTCCAAACACTTGGCAATCTAGGCAGGTTGCTCATAGAACGCAATATCTCATGGCAGGAGATTCAAAGCACACAGGGGTGATCTGGCACCAGCAGCCACACCTTGCCCACAGGGAACTCGCAGACCTGGCTTACTTACCTCCAGTGACAAAGAGCTCATTATCCTACAGGGCTGCTCTCCCACGTCACCAGCTCTGACTGCCAGAAAGGCTTCCGTGGAGAACGGCAGTCTGCTTTCTGGGAACTCCCCAGACCCCACCCCGGCCCATCCAGCATAGGTCTGCTTAGGAGAGGGGCTTTTGAGAGCCACAGCCAGCATCCCACCCTGGGCTCTCCCTCAGCTGGGCCTCTCAACAGGAAGTGGCCTATCCTCCTCCCTGGTGGCTCCTCAGGGGCCCCTCAACTCAGGGACCTCTCTGCTGCTGCACCTAAGCAGGAGAGGACCCTCCTCCCATGGCTTTTGCCAAGGTTGCTGTGCCCCAGAGACAGAGAGACAGAAAGAGAATACGTGTGTTTGTGTGTGTCTGTGTCTGTGTGTGTAAGCATGCATGTGTGTGTGGGCATGCATGTATATATGTGTGCATGTATATTGTCAGTGTGCATGCATGTATAAGAGTGCATGTATATGCACGCAAGCGTGCATGTGTGTGAGTGTGCATGTATATAAGTGTGTGTGTATGTGTGTACGTGTGCATGTGTGTACATGTATGTGTGAGCGTGTGTATATGTGTCTGTGAGTGTGTGTATGTGTGTAAGTGTGCGTGTGTATACATGTATGTGTGAGCGTGTATATGTGTCTGAGTGTGCATGTATGTGTGCATAAGCATGCATGTCTGTGTGAGTATGCATGTATGTGTGCATATATGTGTGAGCGTGCTTGCATGTGTAAGTATGCATGTATGTGTGAGCATGCATGTGTGTGTGCGTGTATGTATGAGTATGCATGCATGTGTGTGCATGTATGTGTGAGCGTGCCTGCATGTGTGTATGTGTGTGAACATGCATGTGTGTGCATGTATGTGTGAGCATGCATTTATATAAGTGTGCCTGCATGTGTGTGAACGTGCATACATGTGCGTGTGTGTGCACGTGTGTGTGTGTAAGCATGTATATTTGTATATATGTGTGTTTGAGGGGCTGACCCCTGCTCGCTCTGCCCTGCAGTAGCACAGAGGGAAGCATGACCGGGGTGGCGGGGTGGCGGGGTGGCAGGGTGGCAAGACCAGGCCCAGGCTGAATGGAGGGAACCAGGGAGGGGCTCACCAAGAAAAGCCCAGGGACCACGATAAACAGGTGAGGAAAGAGTATGCCTGCAGGTGAGTGACCTGCTCAAGGCCACACAGGCCAGGCCAGGCCTAGGCCTTGGACTCGGGTGGACTCACAGCCAGGTCTTTCTCTCCCTTGTCTTGGGGCAGAACCTCTTCGACAGCATCAAGAGTGAGCCATTCTCCATCCCTGAGGACGACGGCAATGACCTCACTCACACCTTCTTCAATCCAGACCGGGAGGGTTGGCTGCTCAAGCTAGGTGAGAGACCGACAGACACACGTCGTCGCACACACACTCATGCACGCGCGGGCACACATCGTTGCATGCACACTCCTGGACGCACAGGCCCCCAGCTGACACGAGGCTCACATGCATCCTGGGGGATGGAGTTGGACAGCCCCAGGTCTCCTGGCCCCCAGTGCAGCCGTCTGCCTGCCCCATCCATCCACCTGTCCCGAGAAGGAAGGGAGCCAGTGGTGGGGGCTGAGCTGTAAGCCGGGCGAGAGGCAGACAGACCCACTGACAAATGCTTCAGCTGCGGTTCTGTTTCTCTCTCCCCAGCGGAATGGGGAGGGAAGTCATAGCAGGAAGTACCATTTGTTCAGAACCTACTGAGCTCAGGCAAGGTGCTGGTCCACCCTACAGCCGAACAGTAAAGTCAGGGATCTGCCTGAGGCCACACAGCCAGCCAGGGGCAGATTTGAGGGCACAGAGGGTTAGGTGTCCCTAAAGGAGGGGAGGAAGGATGACAGGATGTGGCTTAGGGGGAGGCTCCCTTCAAGCTGACTGGGGGCAGGGAGGGCCTGCACCCTGCAGAGAGCAGCTGGGGTGGGAGCTGCAGTAATAGTGGCTGTAGAGTCCAGCAGGGCAACCCCAGTGCCCGGCCGTCTGCCCCTGCCTCCCACACACACTTCCGGAAGCCTCTCCAGCAGGGACAGCCAAGCCGGGGACAGCGCCTCCAGGGCAGGTGAGGACAGATGCCTCATGTTGAAGCAGGGGTCTCAACCTGGCTCACCTCCAGCAACATTGAGCCTCCAGCACCTCCTGTCTACCAAGCCCCGTGCCAGTCCTGCCCAGAACCCCCAGGAGCCCATGAGCCCTCTGACTCTCCACACCACACCCCAGTCCATCCTCCTCCAGAGCACTCGGCCGCCTGTCCTGCCCCAGCCACGTGCTGTCCGCCCCCGAGAAGCTCTATGTCATAAATCTTAACTCAGATGGGAGAGGGAGCCTCAGAGTCACATAGCCCTGGGCCCAAACCCCAGCTCCTCCACCCAAGTACTGATGGTCAGGTTCTTCAGCCTCAGTTTCTGTAGCTGTAAGATGGGGAGAATGATCTCTGGGAGGGTTAAATGTGCGGCAAAATGGCCAAGAGTTGGGCTCTGGGACTAGGACATTGGGGTTCGAATCCCAGCTCTGCTGCTGAACCGTGGGCAGGCGATTTTACCTCTCCATGACTGTTTCCTCATCTGTAAAATGGGGTTAACAATGGTCTCCTCTTCATACGTGGTTGTGAGGATTAATAAGTAATATTTTTTGAAACCTCTAGAGCAGTGTCTGGCAAATGAAGGACGAAATGCTTAGCATTGTGCCAGGCAGGGACCAAGCTAAGGAATGAAGCAATGGATGGCGGTAGCCAGGAAGAGCAGGAACTGGCCATTCCTAGGACCATTCCTAGGACCTGATCACGGAGGCCACCCAAACGCCAGCTCAAGCAGCTCCAGGGAAGCCTGGGGATTACAGGAGCCACTAAGGTTCTTGTTTGAGAAAGGGATAGATGTTGGGGGGAGGTGTGGTGGACGAAGTTTAGGGCACTCAGCTGGGGGTCCAGGGGAAAGCATCCGAGGACCTGCCCTTCCCTGGAGGAGGTGTCAGTGGCCCAGGAGGAGGACTGACCAGCTTGCTACATTGGCCTTGCGCAGGGGGCCGCGTGAAGACGTGGAAACGGCGCTGGTTCATCCTGACCGACAACTGCCTCTACTACTTCGAGTTCACCACTGTGAGCAGGGTTCTCCTGGGCCTTCCCCTGCCCCCGCCTCTCCCCGCACAACCCACTTCCCAACTCCCACTGAGCAGTCGACTCACACAGCTTTGGATCCTTTGAGATCATTCAGTCCCCCTCCATGCCCATTTTACAGATGGGGAAAACGGGTACACAGAGGAGGGCCGGGCCAAGGTCCTAGGCAGAGCCCAGGCTTAAAGCTGGGCCTCCTAAGTTCCGGCCAGAGGTCTTCACATGCTGCTTCTAACTTCCGTCCCCCTATGACTGGACAGTCTCGGAAGATGAGCACGCTCCTCTTTGAGTTTGGGGAACCCCACACGTTCACACCCTGCCTTGGGCCTCAGGGTTCCGCTTCCTGACCCTGACCTTCCTTCCCCTTTCCCTGTAGGACAAGGAGCCACGGGGAATTATACCTCTTGAGAACCTCTCGGTGCAGAAGGTGGATGACCCCAAGAAGCCAGTAGGTGTTCAGGTTGCAGGATCCCGAGGCTGGAGCCACTGGGAAATTTCCTAAACAGAACGTGGGGAGAGGGCCTGAGGCTGGGCTCTCCAGGAAGCCAGGCTGTGCCCCTTACACCTTCCCTGTGGCTCAGGGCTGCCTTCTCTCCCTCCTGGGGCCATGGACAGTGAGAAAAGGTCAATGTGGGTCCAAGGACGTGGTTGTCCCCTGTTGTCCCACACAGCCCGACTGGCTGGATGGCCCCGAGTAAGCTCCACTCCATTCAGAACCTCAGTGAGCCCACATGTCACGTGGGGA
Organism: Homo sapiens; assembly: GCF_000001405.40. NCBI lineage: Eukaryota > Metazoa > Chordata > Mammalia > Primates > Hominidae > Homo > Homo sapiens. The sequence goes on from NC_000022.11 coordinate 37,311,825, forward strand.
CTTTAGGGAGGATGGTGGATTCAGGAGCCTGCCACAGAGAGAGTGCTCAGTGTGGGAGCAGCAGCTCCTGCCCCTTCGCCTGTCGTAGGGCTGTCACGCTGATCAGGGACACTAGCGTCTGGGCTTCTCTGAGCCTCCTGGAGGGCCCACCCAGCCTCCCTCTCTTCCCACCCTTGCCTGGCCACCTCCCCACAGTTCTGCCTGGAGCTCTACAACCCTAGCTGCCGAGGCCAGAAAATCAAGGCCTGCAAGACCGATGGCGACGGCAGGGTGGTGGAGGGCAAGCACGAATCGTACCGCATCTCAGCCACCAGTGCCGAGGAACGTGACCAGTGGATCGAGTCCATCCGGTAAGGGGTGCCCAGGTCTGGGGACGGCTTCCCGTCACCTTCCAGAAGGCCCTGCTTCTTTTGGGTCTTGCTTCCTTATCTGTAAAGGGGCTAACTCCAGTCTCTCCCTCCTGTTTCTGGCTGGCAAACCCCTTCCACCCGTATTCCATGGGTACTTTCTGTGTGCCTGGCACCAGGCCAGGCCCCAGGACACAGGGAAAGGAGAGACCACCTGCATGGGGTTGGTGGGAGAATAGAGCAAAGAGTTGCACATAAAGTTCTTGCCCCGCCCTTGCCTGGCACGTGGTGAGTGCTCTTGTTGGCATCACTATCCAAAGTGGCCTGGGAAGGACCTGGTGGAGGTGGAGGGAAGGGCTTTCCAGATAAACTTCCAGGTAAAAGGACCCGGACCCATGTGGGCAACCAGCAGGCGGCCTACCTGCACAGCATCCCGGAGTCCGAGTGAGGCTAAGCAGTGTGGGAGCTGAAACTGCTGAGCATGACAAAGCCACAGCCACCGTGGTGAAGAGCTTCAGTTTCTCCTGGGGCACTGGGGAGCCATAGACTCATAAATAGGGAGGGGTGGCTGGGTGAGGAAAGCCAAAGTGTAGGGACTGGTTCTGTGGTGCCACCAACAGGAGAGACATGAGGAAGATGCATCTGGTAAAGGGCAAGATGGCAAGCCTGCTCAAGGCTTGACTCTGAGCCAGCCCAAGATATTGGCAAGGGTGAGGCCTGGTGGCCAGAGGAAGGCTGAAGTGGTTGCTGGGCAGGGGCCGTGTCCCGGGGACTTGCAGGGTCTTTTCCCCTGGGCCTTGTGAGCCTGTGAGGCTGCCAGGCAGACCCATTCTCACCTCCATCTTACACATGAGGAAACTGAGGCCCAGAGATGGGAGGGACCTGCCCAGGCCACAGAACCAGGGACAGAGCAGGGTCCAACAGGCAGGTCTGCCAGCTCCACCCCAAGCTCTTCCCATCACCTTCCGAAGGTCGCCAGTGGGAGCCTGGAGAGGGGCCCAGAGACATTTGGGAGTAGAATTCCCAAGGCTCTCAGCTCCTGATCGGAGGCCTCACCCACTCTGGCCCTGCCCATGGGACACTGGGTTAGGCTTACAAGTCTGGACTTACCCTGGCACAGCCTTTGTTGGGGCCATCTGGCCTTTCCCCCGCGGCAGAGCAGGCTGACACCTCCCTGGGAATCCCATGCCCCTGATACAAGCCCTGGGAGAGCAGACCACCTTGACGGCCAGTCCAGCCCTGAAATCTCTCCTCCCACTCATTCTAGAGCCAGCATCACCCGTGTCCCCTTCTACGACCTGGTCTCTACTCGGAAGAAGAAGATTGCCAGCAAGCAGTGAGATTCCTGGAGGTGGCACTGGGGGCTGGTCACCCTGAGAGTCCCATCGCCTGCAGCACCTGGAGACCCACCTCCCACCCCAGTGCACTCTTTTGGGCCACAGACATCATTGCTGTTCCCCGTTACCTCGAGCTGACTCTAGAGGGGAAGGCAGAGCTCAGGAGGGTGGGTGGGAGCTGCAGTGGGCTCAGAGTCCAGCAATGAGGCCCCCTGGCCTGGGCACCCAGCTGCAGGCCCCTGCCCTACGTGCACTACAGGAAGGGGTGAGGAGAGCAGCCAGAGGAAAACCAGCCCCAGAATGCTGCAACTTCTCTTCTCTCTGGACTTCGGTGTCCTCGGCTCTGAAGGCGCTCTCTGCACTTAGATGCTGTCAGCCCTCAACGTAGGAGGGGCCGTGGGGTCCCTAAGTGATTCTTCTCCCTGGCAAGGCTCTTCCTTTTCAGGGATATCTCTGCCAACCCCTCCCCTGTCCTCGGGTTGGGCTTGGCCCTCTCTGCCTGAGAGAGCTCAGCACACACACAGCTCAGACCCACGGACAGGACCCCGGGACAGAACCCCGGGAGCACTGCCCTAGGAGCCCGGACCCCACGAGCTCAGTCCCAGCTCTGCCTCTGACTCGCTGTGTGCCCTCTGCCAAGTCATGCCCATTCTCTAGTTCTTGCAAAACTGCAGTGTTTGGACTAGAAACGTATTGGCCCCTGCTAGCCCTGTGCTCCAGCTTCCAGCTGGAGATGGCAGCCGTTGTTTGCGGAGCCCAGGCTGACTCCGGATTCAACGTTGCTGGGGAGAGAAAAGCAGTATAGACTCCACCTTCCAGGATGTCCATTTCGGGGAGAGGAGCAGGTGGGACCCTCAAGAAAATGACGGAGAACATCCCAGACAGATGGGACTCAAGCAGGATGGGTGCTATATCCAAGAAGCCAAGAAGGGAGAGTTTCGTGCACTGTGGTTAACAGGAGGGCTGCCTGGAGGCAGTGGCTGAGCCAGAAAGTAACACAGAGCTCATGCTTGGAGAGAGAGAGTCTTGGCCATGGCTTTCCTGCAAGACCACTGACGAGCAGTCCCATGGTGATAAAGGGCAGCCCGGCGGGTCCCAGCATCTCGAGACCCTCTGCAGAAGTATTATCAGAGTAGAGCTGACTTCCAGTACCCGGGCAGCCAGCTCTGTCTCCAGGGAGGCCTGGCCTGGAGGAGGAGTCCACTAACAGGAAACACTTCTCACCCCCTCACACAGGCCCAGGGGAGCCCCTGGAGGGAAATTCCTTGGCAGGGGAACAGGAAATGTGGCCGCCTCTGCCCCACTGCCAGCCTGAGTGGGCAAGGAAGCAGGTGGATCCCCCAGAAGGAACCGCAGCTCGCGAGGCACCTCTCCTCGTCCCCACCCACCCCCACATTTGCACACCTTCCACAGGGTCAGGATGGAGTAGCTGCCTTGCGAGGTGGTGAGACTCCTGTCTCTGGAGGTCTGCAAGCACTGGTAGTGATATTGCAGCAGACAAGGTCTGGGTTGGGCGTCTGCAGGAGGACACCTTGTGGGACATCTGAGGACATCCGCAGATTCTTGTCAGCCTGTGAACTAGGCCCTGCCTCTGTCACCTCATTGGTCCATGAAGGAGCAGCCAGGGGTGGTGGAAGGAGCACTGGGCTAGGGGTCAGGGGTCAGAGATTCTGTCCTGCTCCTGGGATGCACTGGCTACTCCCTTAGTCTACTCCCTTCCCCTCTCTGGTCCTCAGCTTCCTCCATCATGGAGGAGATGGGATCATGGATTTTCTGGGCATAAGTGGCTGTTCTGGGAGTCATTCCAAAGAGAGAATAAAACTCCTGATCCAACTCGTGAGTGGGCTCTGTCCTCTCTGTGACTGCGGCTGCCACCTTGACCCCACCGGGCCCTCCACCTCCGTCCCTTTCCCAGTGGAGGGCAGGAGGGCCAGGCAGGGAGGCTGGTCACTCAGAGGGCCCTACGACCCCATCCCCGGAACACTGGCACAGGAGCCATCCCCAGGGGCTGGACAGCCAATGGGGCTTCCACAGAGCAGGTGCAGGCAAGCTGGTTCTGACAAGCCCAGGGAAAGGCAAAAGGACTTTCCAGCAGGCAATGCTGTCTAACGATAGAAAGAGCCGCTGCCGGTCAGGCGTGGTGGCTCACGCCTGTAATCCCAACACTCTGGGAGGCCGACGTGGGAGGATCACTTGAGGTCAGGAGTTCGAGACCAGCCTGGCCAACATGGTGAAATCCCGTCTCTATTAAAAATACAAAAATTAGCTGGGCGTGGTGGTGGGTGCCTATAGTCCCAGCTACTCAGGAGGCTGAGGCAGGAGAATTGCTTGAACCTGGGAGGCGGAGGTGTCATTGAGCCCAGATGGTGCCACTGCACTCCAGCCTGGGTGACAGAGCAAGACTCCATCTCAAAAGAAAAAAAGAGCCAGGCGTGGTGGCTCACGCCTGTAATCCCAGCACTTTGGGAGGCTAAGGCGGGCAGATCACCTGAAGTTAGGAGTTCGAGACCAGGCTGGCCAACCTGGTGAGACCCCCCGTCTAAAAATACAAAAAATTAGCCAGGCGTGGTGGTGCAAGCCTGTAATCCCAGCTACTTGGGAGGCTGAGGCAGGAAAATTGCTTGAATCTGGGAGGTAGAGGTTGCAGTGAGCCGAGATCATGCCACTGCACTCTAGCCTGGGCAACAGAGTGAGACTCTGTCTCAAAATAAAAAGAAAGGAAGGAAGGAAGGAGCGGGGAGGGAGAGAGACAGACAGACAGACAGACAGAAAGAGAGAGAGAGAAAGAGCCTGCTGCCACGGGAGGTGAGTAGAATGTTCCCCGTTGCTGGAGGAGTGCAAGCACTGCTGCTCCAAGGATCACTTGGTGGGTAACGGAGGAGCTTGAATTCAATAACCTTCATTTATTTGTACATCCCACAAATGTTTATGGAGCACCTACGTTGTGCCAGGCACTGTCCCAGACACTGGTACAACAAGGCCGAATCCCTGCCTGCATGGGGCTCACATCCCTGCAGTACTGAACACACGCTGTTCCAGAGGACGCAGAGCAGGCAGTGGAGGGCTGGGCTGGGCTGGGCTGGGCAGAGGGCAATCCGGGGAGGCTTCTCTGAGGAGGGTGCTCAAGTATTGGCAGCCAGGCTGGGGACAGGACACGCACCTGATAATGCAGTGAGCTCACTTCATGTCTGCCCCACACTGAACTGTGAGCTCCTTGTGGGCCAGACCTTGCACATACTCAGAGTGCCCAGCACACAATAGGTGCACAATAACTGCTAGTTCACCTGAAGTTAACTGATAAAAGGCCCTCTGGGTCTCAGCATCAGCAGGTGCAAATGTCCAGAGGCCTAGAGAGCTATGAGAACGTTGGTGCCTCCAGGAGATGCAGGAGTACCTGGAGAGGCCACATCACAAGCCAGGAGCATGGAGAGCTGGGCTCTGACTCACTGGCCCCCTGAGTCTCTCCAGGGCATGTCTGCTCACCTTCCTGCCATTCTGCCACTCCTCACTCTGGTCAGCAGGGGGCTCCCACCACACGTGGATAAGAGGTTTCAACGCTGCAGTCAGAATGGCTGGACTGGCTGCACAGGGCTGGACAGGGCTGGACGGGGCTGGACAGGGCTGACTGGCTGTCCCTTGCAGGGACGGGGTCTCTGTCCGGAGTAGAGCCCTGGCCTGGACGTCCTAAAGGGGGAGACATCTGGTCTATCAGGGCCCAAGGGCTCGAGCAGCCCAGTAGACACCCATGGACACAAACAAGCATGGGCCTCCCCGCCACTCGTGCTGGGCACAGTCACCCCTGCTGGGGCTGGCATTGGGCCTGGCACTGGGAGATTCGCGCACTCTTGCTTTCTGGCTGTGGGGCCCCGAACGAGTTGCTTACCCTCTCTGGTTGGAATTTTCCTCCCTGAGAGGTTGGGCCAGGTGAGTTCCATGATGCAAACCTTGAAGGGAGACTTCCACATGCAACAGGCACCGCTGCAACACAGCTCCTGCCCTGGAAGGGATGGCGGGGGAGGAAGATGAGCAGGTACCACGAAAGCCATTACTGTGTCAGGGCACGGGGCGGGGGGGTGACGTAGCCGTCAGAGCCACCCAGAGGGCCATGGTGAAGGCTCACCTCTACCCTGTGCCTTAAGCAGGTTTCCTAAGCTCTCTGAGCCTCAGGTTTCCCATCTATAAAATGGAAATAATTAAATATATGTAAAATGCTAACAACAGCGTTAGGCAGCTCCTGGGACGTTACATGCTACTATTATTATGGTCACAAGGCAGACTGTGGGCATGCATTCATGGAGCTACAAAAACATGGAATTGGGGCCATTTGAGGGGGAAAGATTCATGTGGGCAGTGGGGTAGTGGGGGAGATCTGGGAAGACTTCTTGGAAGAGGTGTGCTCAGGAAAGATAAGCCAAGTGGAGGTCTGAGCCTTCCAGCCAGTGGGGCCAGTAGGAGACAGGACAAGGAGGGCAGGTCGAGGCAAGGTATTTCTGGAACTCCCCTGGGCCCCAAACACAAGCCCCAGTGAGTCAAAAGAATGCAAGGTTGAGGGAGGCTGGGTGCTGGCTGGGACTGAGCTGCGTGCACAGTGCAGGATCCTTGCAGCTCTGGGGCTGCAGCTTTGGCCGCATGAAGCTCTGAGGGGGCATTCAGTAATGTGGCTGCTGAACGGAGACATCCCAGCCTGAGGGAGGACTAGCTTGGCACAGAAGGCTCTGGGTTGGAATAGGCCAGGGCAGCGGGGCTTGGAGAAGGCAGAGTGGGCCCCTGCCAGGTACCTGGGGAGGAGGAGCCCCTCCATCTTGAAGCCTGGCACACAGAGCTGCCAGGGGACAGGAGATGGGGGCAGGCAGCCCGAGTCGAGTGGCAGGTATGAAAGACCTGGAGAAATTGATTTATTAGGGACATAAAAGGAGCTAAATATGTTTGCCGGCTCAGTGATGACTCAGGCCTTCCCCAGGGGTCTGCAAGTGTGAGCATCAAAGACAGGCCTGCTCCCACCAGGACACTGCAGGCTCCAGACCCTCCTTCCCTTCAATGGGAGGACCACCTCCTACCCCAAGTGTCCTGAGAGCCTGGCCTCTGAGGGGCACCAGAGACCCAGCCACTCACTCCTGCATGCCTCCCAACTCTCCAGACTGCACCCAGAATGGCTGAAGAATGAAGCCAGAGAGTGACACACATCTGGGTCAAAATCCTGGCCTTGCCCCAAACTGCCATGTGATCCTGGCCCAGTGGGGACCCTCTCTGGACCGTCCCCGCGAGCCAGCCCCACCTCCCTCCCTGTCTGGCAATGTTGTCCCATCCCTTTTGGCTTCTTCCTGACAGCACAGCCTCCTCTGCCCAAGATCCAACAACCACCCTCCAGGAGAAAAGCCAGACTCCACAGGGCCTCTTTGGGGAGAACATGCTCTTCCCGTGGTGGTTCCAGGCCGGGCGCTGGGCTCTGGAGAAACGTGGGCGAATCTGGTCTGCAGGCAGGGCCGGCGGAGGAGGATGAAGTGACCTCGCTATGGGGACAGCGTTGGGAGCGACGGTAAGGATGAGGGAAGAGGGGCTGTGGGGCCTGGGGAGACTGGAGCACGGAGCCCCCACACAGGAGTTTGGCACATTTGAGAAGCGGTGAATTCTTTGGTGGGCCTGGAGGAGGCCTGCCTAGAACAGCTGGACTTGGAATGCAACAGAAGCGGAGACACACTGGCCAGCCTGCGTGGGTGACTTTACCAGGACGGTGACGGGGAGCCAGGAAAGGGTTCAAAGCAGGAGAGAGACGGCTGGAAGCCGTCTGGGGATAGCCCCTAGGATCGACCACTCAAGGGATGGATTAAGGAGGCTAGGTGGGCCACAGGGGGCTGGAGGAGGTGAGGGAGGAACAGAGCGGTCGCTGGACAGGAGGAAAGAGGCTTGATGGGCCTCCGGGGCTAAGACTTGTGGGAGGTGACAGCATTCCCCGAAACAGCCCAGCGAAGGGCAGGTGTGGGGAAGGAGTCGGGCGGAGGGGAGGTGAACAGGTCACACTGCGTCAGAGGGGCAGCAGGACCTCCCCGTGGACACCTTCAGCTGCGAGTTAGACAAGAGTCCTGGGCTCAGCAGAAAGCCCTTCCCACCTCCTCTTCCGCACCCTCTCACCCTCTTATCTCCTCCTCCTCTCCCCACTCCCACCTCTCCCACTTGCCCCTCCCTCCCCTGTCTGCCCGATTCCGCCCCCTCCCCTTTCTTGGCCATTTAGTCTTGGCTCAGTGGTGTGTACTGGCAGGCACCTGGGTCCTGGGGTCCACCTGCAGGCCTGGGTTCCAATCCCAGTGTGTGGGTTCTTAACAGCACGTGACCCTCAAAAGTAACCCACAAAGACCCAGGTTTGCCCTGGACACCCCGGCCCACCCCCACCATGCCCAGCATCAGTATGTCATGGCCAAAGCCGCCAACCATGGAGCACTCGCTAAGGCCAGCGCCTCCCACTACATGCTGTCTTCCAACCTTCCAGCACTCCCTAAGCAGGCGTGACTATCCCCATTTTACAGAGAAGGGCCCTCAGGCGCACTCTGGCCCAGCCAAGAAGGACCTGAGCCGGCATGGAACCAGCGCCATCTGATCTGAAACCTGTGTCAGGGCGACCACAAACTCATCATCCATAATAGCCCTTCCTATGAGTGCTGGAATCTGGATTCCAGGGGACGCCAGGACAACAGGCAGAAACCAGGACTGCTCCAGGCACCCCAAGACATAGGGTCACGGTAGAGATCAGACATATCCACAAGGTGCAGCAAGGAACTGGGGTCATTCTGGGTGGCCCTGTGGACTGGAAGAGTTGTGCCCCGTGGCTGCTTTATCCTGGAGAAGGAAAGGACAGCTGTTTCCTCCGGAGCAGATGGGGTTCAGCCACCAATTCACCCAGCGAACTTTTCTCCACGGTGAGTCTCCCCAAGTCCTACCCCAAAGTGGCACCGTGTGGACTGACACTGGATTGGGTAAACCTGGTCTACTGCACGCCGTCAGCAGATATTAGCTGTCACTGTTATATTCTTGATGGAGTCTCCCTCGAGAGGGCTGAGTTCAAGGACTCTGAACAGGACAGAACCATGGAAGGCAATGGGGGCTGTCCATGCCATCCTGCCAGCTCTCCTCCTGCAGGAAGCCCTCCCTGACCACCCCTGTCCCCGGGGCTACTTTAAGACTCCAGAGGTTTCACCATTTGGCTTTTGGTGGGCTGGCTTCGTGGTCTGGGGTTGCCAGGCTCAAAGTTTTTGTTCGGCTGCTGAACACCAAGGCCTACAAGCCCTCTCCTTTTCCATCCCTCTCAGCTTCTGTACGGGGGCCTCCAGCCCCATCCAGAAATGCCCTGGCCTAAAAAAGCACCCTGCCTGTTCTTCCATGATGAAATCAAAGGTCACAGACATTCAGGCACACGCCCTAAGTCACCCAGCACGGAGGCTCCATGAAGAAGACCGAGGCAGAAGGCGCCGGCATTTGTAGAACATACTTCATCTCATCTGATCCTCCCAGGAGCCCACAAGGTAAACAGGATTATTCCCATTTAACAGATGAGGACGTGGAGGCTCAGAGAGCTTGTGACTTGCCCAGAGTCACACGACCAGGAACAGGCATCTGATCCAATTGCTAAGGCCAGGAGGAGCCACCAGCTAGAAGGCTCCAGCAGAAGGGCAGGATTAATTCTGTGACCTTTCCAGTCCCTGTGATCCTTTGAGGCTAAAGCTTAACTCTTCTCTTTCTCCCTCCCCCAAGGGATTTTCAGTTCATAAATAAGAGCCCAGAGGGGACCAACCTTTGATCCAAAGAAATGATTTTTTCAGAAAATGTCCCCCATTTAAAAATTAATAAAACATGCTCATTGCAGAAAATTGGAAAGCGCAATGAAGAGGAAGAAAAACTTAGACCAAAAAACAAATGAGATCATGTCCTCTGTTGCAACACGGCTAGAGCTGGAGGCCATTATCCTAAGCAAACGAACATAGACAGGAGCAGAAAACCAAATACCGCATGTTCTCACGTATAAGTGGAAGCTAAATAATGAGGACACATGAATACTAGGAGAGGGACAACAGACACTGGGGCCTTCTGGAGGGTGGACAGTGGGAGGACGGAGAGGATTAGAAAAAAATACCTGGTGGGTATTATGCTTATTACCTGGGTGACAAAATTATCCGTATACCAAACTCACATGGCAGTTTATCTATATAACAAACCTGCACATGTATCCCAATCCTAAAAGTTAAAAAAAAACCTAGACCAAGAATTCCTCTACCTGATAATTTTGTAAACATTTCAGAATATTTCCAACACACCTGTTATGTCTCTGCAATGATACTGCAAATGCAGTTTTGTAACCTTAAGCCAATTTTTTTTTTTTTTCTGGAGACAGATTCTCGCTCTGTCCCTGAGGCTAGAGTGCAGTGGCACAATCTCAGCTCACTGCAACCTCCTCCTCCCAGGTTCAAGCGATTCTCCTGCCTCAGCCTCCCGAGTAGCTGGGATTACAGGCATGCACCACCACACCCGGCTAATTTTTGTATTTTTAGTAGAGGCGGGGTTTCACCATGTTGCCCAGGCTGGTCTCGAACTCCTGACCTCAAGTGATCTGCACGCCTCGGCCTTCCCAAAGTACTGAGATTGCAGGTGTGAGGCACCATGCCCGGCCTAACACTTAAGCCTTAAAACTATGAAATCCGGATGTCCACGTGTATACCAGCCAGGACAGGTTAGGTTACACTGTGGCAACAAATATCCCCAAATCTCAGTGGCTTCACACACCACAAGAGGTTATGTCTTGCTCACACCCTATGCCCTGGGATTGCAGGGTAGGGATCGGCATGGAGTCTCTGCTTATCATAGTCACTCAGGGACCTAGGCTGAGGAGGTGCCATCCTGGCATGAATTGCCAGGAGCGCTGTCTGGATGTGACATGCCACTTCCGCTCACATTGCATTGGCCAAAACATGTCACATAGCTACCTCACTGCAAGGCCAGATGAAATACCATCCTACCACCGGCCATGCAACATGGGAGGACAGTAATACTTGGGGTGTGGCACTAGTGCCGATTATAGCTAGGGTGACCAATTGTCCCCATTTTCTCAGGACCAAGGAGTTTTCCAAAATGCCGGCCTTCTTGTGCTAAAATTGGGAAAGTCCTGGGCAACCCAGGAGGACTTGTCTGCTCCTATTGTACCACGTTGTGCGGTCTTTACACACTCACTTTTCAAAACTGCACAGCAGCCATCTTTTAGATGAACCAAGGTTTCTCTCCCCAGTCCCCTATTGCTGGAGACTCAGACTGTTTCCAGTATTCCATGTTTATAAATACATTGTCTTAAATACCTCCATGGATAAAACCATGTCTACTTCTCAGTGGCTTCTCAGAGGTGCCATTGGTGGCCGTTTACAGGCTCACAATACCTGTTATCCATAGGTAATTCAAAAAGGTTGAAACAATACAATTTGCCTTCTGCAGCGAAAGCACGTACCTGCTTTCCTTACCTTCTCCTGGAGCCCAGAGCAGTCATTCTCTAATTGTAGCCTCCAGCTCACCTGGAGAGCTCCTTAAAACAGATTGCTGGTCCCTAGCGCCAGAGTTTCTGATCCACGGGGGCTGGGATGAAGCCTAACCTTTGCGTTTTTGTGTGTGTGGTTTGTTTGTGGGTTTTTTTGTTGTTTGTTTGTTTGTTTGTTTTGATGGAGTCTCGCTCTGTTGCCCAGACTGGAGTGCAGTGGTGCAATCTCGGCTCACTGCAAACTCCAGCTCCCGGGTTCAAGCGATTCTCCTGCCTCAGCCTCCTGAATAGCTGGGATTACAGGCGTGTGCCACCACACCTGGCTAAGTTTGTATTTTTAGTAGAGACCGGGTTTCTCCATATAGGTCAGGCTGGTCTTGAACTCCCGACCTCAGGTCATCCACCTGCCTCAGCCTCCCAAAGTGCTGGGATTACAGGCATGAGCCACCGCGCCCGGCCAGATGCCACCACTTTGCCACCGAACAGGTGACCCTGCTCAGCTACTCACCAGAGGTCTAACCTGGAGCAAATTATGCAATTAGCCTCTCTTAGCCTAGGTTCCTATCTGTGAATTGGAGCAGTTGGGAGGATGGACTACCAGGGTAACCATGAGTTCAGTTAAAAATAGTTACAGTTATTCAGCGGTAAATTAAATAACTTTATGTTTTAAAATATTTGTGAGTTTGAATGGAACTGCATTGATTAACATTTGTATTCCTTTCATATCTGAGTGGGAATGGACTTTCTCCCTGTGAGGGTTAAGCATTTGTGTTTCCTTTCTAGTGTGAATCATCGCTCCTGCCCTTTGCCCATTCACCTGCAGGTTTCTCTGCCTTTCCTCTCCGTCTGCCTGGGATCATTACAGAGCAAAGATAAACCCCCATGGCCGTTCTTGATTGCTAGAGATTTTTCCAAAGCTGTTGCTCACCTGTCTGCTGGGGCCATTTTTCTGGCTTACAAAGTGGCCGAATCCATCTGACTTTCCCATTTTTATTTTCTCTATCACTTTTAAGCTTAGATTGGAGCCCTTCTCCAGAATGTGACAATATAAAGGAAATGGATTTTGAATGATGAGATTTCCTGCACCTTGAGGGGTGGTGGGGGTGGGGGATCCTGGCTCAACTCAAACCCTGTGGTGGTGATAGAAGGCATAGTCAGAAACCAAGAGCCCCTCAGCACCAGGACAACCCACCACCCTCAGCTCTCCTCGACATTAGCCACGCTGTCTCTCTCCCCATTTGCAGAGTCCCCCCGCAGAGAGGCACAGGGCAGGCCAGAGCTGGATGCGCGGCTGGAAGGTCAAAGGCATCATCCTCAGGTTGGAGACAGGATGACCGAAGGTGTAAGAACTGGCCAGAGGAGTTGGACAACTCCCAGCTCAGGTCTCTCCTCGACTGCTTTGGCCGTGTGAGCTTTGCCTCTCTGGGTCTCTGTTGTCTCATCCATAAAATGGGCCTGACCATGCCCAAGTCAACGGAAGGATTTAAATAGATCAGCGCCCTGAGGTCGGTGCTGGACGCCGAGTACACGCGCCCAGTACACAGGGCTTGAGCTCATTACACGCCCCAGTTCTGTTCCTGGGGTGGTGGCGTGAACCCCACTGCCTTTGCCTTTAATTGCACTGAAAATATCCAGCACCGCTGATATCAAGGGCCCAGGTCCCGGCGGAAATGAACTCCCAGACTTGGGCGCCCAGGTTTCCGTGCGCGACCCCAGCCCCTCCGGCTGCAGCTCAGCCCATCGGCCCTGCGCGGGAACAGTGTCACCCGGGCACCCGGGCCAGAACAGGCCACGCGTGTCCCAGGAGCGCGGGAAGCTCCCACGCCCCCTCCCCCGCACCGCTCCTTTGGCTGGCAGAGCGGGTCCTCAGCGCGTCTCAGCCGCACCAAGCGCCTCCCGCTCCCGCGCCACCCGGGCGCGCTGCTGGGGCCTGATTTCCATAATAATCAGCCAGAGATCTCCCGAAAAGGCTGGGAGCGGCCGCCGCCGCCCACCGGGGAAGCTCCCGAGGGTGGGCGCCCCCCTTCCCACCCTCCCTGCCGCCGCCGGGAGGGAGCCTCGTTTTTAAAAGCTTTCGAGAAACCGTCCGTGCGCAGGAGGCAGCTGGGAGACACCCAGGATGTCGTTCTCCGCATTAAGGAGGGGGACGGCGGTGGGGGAGGTGGGAGAGGCCGCGGCGCAGGTGTAGACCAGGCTCAGAGGCAAGGAGGGGAGGAGGGAAACTGAGGCAGCCGCGGGGTGGGGAGACGTTTCAAGGTATATTCTCACTGCAGCCTCACGGCGACCCTGCGGGTGAGTTATCTGCTATGCCCCACTTTACAGGTGGGGAAACTGAGGCCTAGAGAGGTTTCCAGTCTTCCAAGCTGGCAAGTGGCTGGGCGGGGACCCTTTTCCGAGTTGGGGGATTCAGATCCCCTGGCCTGCCCGGCACACTGCCTCCTGCCCAAAATGGGCAGCGTAGAAGCAGGATGCTCTGTGCATCCCAAGATGGGAGAACCAACCCGAAAGGGAAAGACCAGGGGGCTGAGGTCCGGCACACACTTGGAGCTGATCTGGTCCAGAAGCCCGTGGGCTCGCAGAACCTAGTTTGAACCCCAGCTCTGCCACCTCCCAACCATCCCCCAAGGGGTGGGCAAACTACAGCCCCTAGGCCAAATCCTGTCAAACTGTTATGGTACAACCAGAAACCAAGCATGTTTTTTTTTCTTTTTTTTCTCTTTTTCTTTTTCTTTCTTTCTTTTTTTTTTTTTTTTTTTTTTTTTTTTTTTAGATGGAGTTTTCGCTCTTGTTGCCCAGGCTGGAGTGCAGTGGTGCGATCTCGGCTCACTGCAGCCCCTCCCTCCTGGGTTCAAACAAGTTTCCTGCCTCAGCCTCCCAAGCAGCTGGGACTACAGGCACGGGCCACCACACCCGGCTAATTTTTTTGTATTTTCAGTACAGATGGGGTTTCACCATATTGGCCAGGCTGGTCTCAACCTCCTGACCTCAGGTGATCCACCCTCCTCGGCCTCCCAAAGTGCTGGGATTACAGACATGAGCCACTGCACCCGGCTAGGTTTTTTCTATTTCTGAAGATAAAAAAAAAAATTCCTGACATGTGAAAATTATATGAAATTTGAATTTCCATGTTCATCCACTTTTTTAATTAAAATACAGCCACACCCACTTATTTCTGGTACTGTCTATGGCTGCTTTCCCTCTACGGTGGCACCGTTGAATAGTTTTGACCAAGAAGCATGGCTCGTAAAGTCAAAAATATTTACTATGTAGCCTTTTCCAGAAAAGCTTTGCCCATCCCTGCAATAATGGGGCAACGATGAAGCCTCTACGCCTCGGTTTTCTCACCTGGACAGATGGGAATGCCATTAAGTGAGGATGAAGTGAAGGCTGGGAAAGCCCTGAGCACAGTTGGCAGCACCCATCTTAGAAATGCCTTTGACCGGCCCGGTGCAGTGGCTCACGCCTGTAATCCCAGCACTCTGGGAGGCCGAGGCAGACGGATCCCCTGAGATCAGGAATCCAAGACCAGCCTGAGCAACATGGAGAAACCCCATCTCTACTAAAAATACAAAATTAGCCAGGAGTGGTGGCGCATGCCTGTAATCCCAGCTACTCGGGAGGCTGAGGCAGGAGAATCGCTTTAACCCAGGAGGCAGAAGTTGCAGTGAGCTGAGATTGTGTCACTGCACTCCAGCCTGGGTAACAGAGTGAGACTCCGTCTAAAAAAAAAAAAAAAAGAAAGAAAGAAAGAAAAAGAAATGCCTTTGACTTTTGCCAAGCCCCTGCTGCTTGCTGCCTCCCCATCCCGAATCACGGCTACCTGGGTGGATGCACTTTGAACTCAAGATATTCATCCCCTGCCCCCATTCATCCTGCTTGTCCTCACTCCAAGCTTATCAACCTGGCCTCCAGCCACCCTCTCCCGTCAGTGACCCAGCCTGACCGGTTCCACCTCCAGCACCCAGCACAATCCCTGCCCCACACTGGTTCTTAGCAAACATTTTCTTTCTCTTTTTTTGAGACGGAGTTTCACTCTTGTTGCCCAGGCTGGGGTGCAATGGCGCAATCTCAGCTTACTGCAACCTCTGCCTCCTGGATTCAAGCAATTCTCCTACCTCAGCCTCCCAAGTAGCTGGGATTACAGGCATGCGCCACCATGCCCGGCTGATTTTGTATTTTTAGTAAAGATAGGGTTTCACCATGTTGGTCAGCCTGGTCTCGAACTCCTAACCTCAGGTGATCTGCCCACCTCGGCCTCCCAAAGTGCTGGGATTACAGGTATGAGCCACCGCACCCGGCCTCAGCAAACATTTTCTAGATGGATGGATGGATGGGTGGATATTTTGCAGTCTTTCTCCATTCCTTCAACTCTAGCCTCCATCATCTCCTTCCAGGTCTCCCTGCTCCCCCCTTCATTTCATCCCCGACTCTGTAGCCAGGGTCACCTGCCTCCTCCCTGGATCCCCAGTGCAGCACAGGTGCTGAGCCACCCCCCTCCACCAAACACCCAAACTGCTAGCACTTCCCTGAGCCCAGCAGGTTGTATCAAGCCTCCAGATGTTTGCCCATTCAGTTTTCTCTGCCTGGAACCTTCTTTATTCCCAGTCCAATGGGCTTTGCATCCTCTACTTGACCCCCAAGACTTAGTTCAGGACCAAAGCCTTTGAAGCCATTCCAGGTCTCTCCCCCTTCTCCCACTGCCCCAGTATACAAACCTATCTCGGTACCAGTGGGACTTTGGTACCTTTATGAATATGCATGAGTTTCTCCTGGTGAGCCTGTGAGCCTCTTGAGGGCCAGAACTGTGACTAGTATTTCTTTTCTTTTTTCTTTCTTTTTTTTTTTTTTTAAGACAGAGTCTCTCTCTGTTGCCCATGCTGGAGTGCAGTGGCACAATCATGGCTCACTGCAACCTCCACCTCAAGCGATTTTTCTGCCTCAGCCTCCCAAGTAGCTAGGATTACAGGCGCCCACCACCACACGCGGCCAATTTTTGTATTTTTAGTAGAGATGGGGTTTCACCATACTGGCCAGGCTGGTCTTGAATTCCTGACCTCAAGTGATCCACCCACCTCGGCCTCCCAAAGTTCTAGGATTACAGGTGTGAGCCACCGCATCCGGCCTATGACTAGTATTTCTGAATCACCAGTCCCAGCAAAGGCATGCCGCGGAGAAGACAATAAATTTTTAATAAATGAGTCAACGGAGGAAGGAAGGAATTAATATAGCTGGGATCATCTCCCTCCCTGGCTCAACAACTTTCAGATGCTTCCCAGGTTCTCTCTGTCAAGGCCCAGCCTGGTCTTCAAGTCTTGAAGCCCTATATGAAATGGCTCTGGTTCACCCCCGCAACCTTGTCTCAAGCTGCATCTCCCATACAGTCTTCCCGAAGCAGTCCTGGCCTCCAAGCCTCCATTCATGCAGTTCCCCCTCCCTGTTTCTCCTCCTTAGCCTACCCACATTTGTGCCTGTGGGGGCCCTGGCCATCCTTGGAGATCTTACAGGGCTTCAGCAATCCAGGGGCACCTGCAGTAGGGACCAGCTACCCCATTTCCCAAATCCCACAGCAGAAGGCAGTGAGCAGGGGCTTTGACCAGGAGGACCTGGGTCCCAAATGAATCCTGCCAATGTTTACTATGGAGATGTCAATTCGGCTCTTGGAGTAAAGAGGAAGAGTCCCTTTTACTTGTCTCCTGGGGCTGCTGTGAGGTTAGAGATACTGTAACCTCTCTAGCGCACAGTAGGTACTCAATAATGGACAGCTATTTCCAGCCTGTACACAACACTTCTGTCCTTCTGAGAGGAGGCTCAGAGAGCAGACCTACAGCTCCCCGCAACCTGCAGCCCCAACCTCTCTCTCTCTCTCCCTCTTTCTCTCTCTCTCCCTCTCTCTCTCTCTCTCCCTCTCTCTCTTCCCCTCTCTCTCTCTCTCTCCCTCTCTCTCTCTCTCCCTCTCTCTCTCTCTCTCTCTCTCCCTCTCTCTCTCTCCCTCTCTCTCTCTCCCTCTCTCTCTCCCTCTCTCTCTCTCTCCTCCTCTCTCTCTCTCTCTCCCTCTCTCTCTCCCTCTCTCTCTCTCTCTCTCTCTCTCTCTCTCTCCCTCTCTCTCTCTCTCTCTCCCTCTCTCTCTCTCTCTCCCTCTCTCTCTCTCTCTCCCCCTCACCCCCGACAGTGCCTGCAGCCACCGACTGATGCTGGCGTGGACAGAATGACAATGAGGCCAGGACCTAAGCGAGCCCATCTGGGAACCTAAGACTGTGGCAGAGGCTCAGATGAAGCCAGGGCTTGGGAGGGGCTAGACAGGGACGGGGCAGGCAGGCAGGGCAGAGCAGGGATAGGAGCAGGGCAGTGATCTGCCACTGACTGTACAGCTGGGTGTCAGCTTTCCCTTCTGCCCAATGGGTGAATCATTCCCCCTCTCAGGTCTTGTCCTGAGTACCAAGGGCCAAGTGAGAGTTTGGGATGAAGAGGGACAGAGCCAGGCAGGGCAGGAGCCAGGGAGCAGGGCAGCGGCAGGGTGGGACCAGGGGATGGGGTTCACGATGGAGATGGGGCTGGGGCAGGGACCAGTCAGATTTCTGATTCAGAGCAATTCAGATTGCTTGGGCAATCAATCGGACAAAATCACCCCCAGGGCAGGAAAAGAGACAGTGAGAATATTGTTGGAGGGGGTGGTGCGTGCAGGGAAGAAGGAAGAGGGAGAGAAAGAAGAAAGAAGGAATCTGAGAAGAGACCGTGGAGGGGACGGGGAGAAACCATCCCCTGCTGGAGTCCTGGAGGCAGCCCCACTGGTGCCAGCCTTCTCCTTTGGCCGGTGGGACCTCTGTGGCCAGAGGGCCAGGGACTCACCCAGGCCCCAGTGAGGGGGAGGCAGAATGGACAGAATAGGTGGGAAGACGGGCATGGGAAAGGGGTAAAAGGGGAGGTAGGGTGTGGTTGGCACAGGCCTGCATAGCTAACAATCAGAGAGACGGCCGCCCCTCCTTTTCGAGTCCACATCACAGGTGGAGGGGCCAACTCTTGCCACACGGCCAGCTCATTCCACCTCATTGCCTTTGCCCAAGCCAGTGCCCTGCCTGGGGTGCCTTTATTTCCCTACCCTCACCCCAAACATTTAATCCTCCTCCCTAATTCCTCCAACATTCACCCCAGCCCTGATCTCCCTCAGCAATGACTGTCTCACCCTCACCCTCAGAGCTTGGTGTGAGCGGGGTTACAGTCTGGTGGTCCAAGGATGCTTGCTGGTGTCCCATAAATGTGCTTAGTCCTCACAAGCAGCATGGACGAGCATCACAGCCTGGTGGTTAGGCTCACAGGCTTGGGACTCCACTGGGCCAGGTTCTAGTCCCAGCAGCTTCGTTTTCACATAGTAGTTGCTTCATAAATGCTAGGTCCCCTCCTCCTGTTCCATTGCTAGCTCAGAATGTGCACACAGCAGGTGCCCAGTGGTGGCTTCTGGGCTGAGGTGCCCTTCTGTTCCCTAGTGGGCCCCTTGTCCCTGACAGGACACAAAGATGTCACCCCTGCCTTGGCCTCCAGGCCCAAGCCTGAGCAGTGAAGCTTGGGAGAAAGGCCCCATTGCTCATTCCCCTTGAGTCTGCAGCTTGGGCAATCAATCGGTCGCCATGGAAACCAGCCTTCCAATCAGAAGCAGGCACTTCTTGGCTGCGCCAGCGCCACCTACCCACCCACTCAGGCCTGGCTGTGCGGTCCCTCACCTAGGACTGCCAGGGGTTGGGGGCGGGGAGGAGAAAAGGGAAACTGGCATAATTGGGGCACACCTGCTTCTATCCCTAAAGCCCTGAGAGTCTCCAAAGAAAGAGCATTTTCTTGGGGTGGGGGTCACTACTTCAGTGGCCCCCTGATTTTTACAGCATTCATTCCTACAGAGTATGGCCCTTGGTACTCAGAACAAAACCTGAGGGGAGGGAATGATTCACCCATTGGGCAGAAGGGAAAGCTGAGACCCAGCTGTAGGGTCAGTGGCAAAGCTAGGTGCATGCCCCCTCCCTGAGCCCCCATCTCCTTCCCCCTCCTCCCTGGCCTGAGGAATGGGACAGGGAAAGGAGGGGCAGAAGAGTTCCTGGCCCACTGCAGCCAGCACCTGCCTTCCCACTAAATCTACGCCTGGCACTTCCAGGGCCCATTAGCGCCGGGCCCACCAGGGCCCATTAGCCAGCATCTATGGGCCTCTGCACCCACCTGCCCACCCACGCCCAGCTGCAGCCTCCCGCCCAGGCCCCTCCTTCCCCCACTGCCAGCTGGGATTGGACAGAGCCCAGGCTCTGAGTCACACAACCCCACGTTCAACAACTGGCTCCTCGCTGCTGAGACTAAGCAAGCCAGGAAACCTCTCTGAGCCTCAGTTTCTCTGTTTGGAAAATGGAAAGAATTACTCCTGCCTTACAAGGGAGTGATGAGGACTCAGAGTGCATAAAGAGCTTAACACAGGGCCTGGTATGGACTCAGTAAAAGGGAGGCCACCTTCCCCATCCCTGTTCCCTCTCAGTACCCAAAACTGTCCCTTGGAGCTGAGCTAAGGCATCCACCTGCCAGGAGAAGGTAGAAGACAAATTCTACTATTCTTAATAACCAGCCCAGGAAAGCAAATTACAAATAAGATTTAGAGAAGGGCAGCAACTTGCCCCCTACCCCAACACTGGGAGGGATGGGTAGGATTTGAACCCAGGTCTGTCTGACTCAGACCTGAGCTGTCTCTGCTGCAGCCCAGCCTCTCCCGACCCTGACCCAGCCCTGCTCCAGCCAGCCAAAGCCTGTCACCCTGGGCCACTAGTGCCCAGCTCTGCACTGACAGAGCACCTGCTATGAACTTGGCATGCCAGGTGCCCACCACCACATACAGCACCCCCAGCACTTACAGGGCTGCAGAAGGGAAGTCGAAGGGATGTTGAGTCATGCTGGGGGATCTGACCTGGTTGAGGATGCTGGGGAGACTTCTGGAAGGAAGGCGGAGGCTAGACCAGCTCCCAGCCACCACACAGCTGGTGCTGCCGCCTGCTGTTTGAAGCTTTTGCCCTCTCGGCCTAGAAGTCTCCCATTATGGTGCTGTGTCTGCTGGGACCCACGGGGCGCTGCACAGGGAACCATGTGGCCGTGAACCTCAAGTCCAGCCCAGCAGGGGTCAATTGTCTCAGCCCACCCCTCCCTACCCCCAGTATCCTCTCTCCTTTATAGATCATCCATTAAGTGCCAGACACTGCAGAAGGCACATTGACTAATATTAAATATTAGCCCAGCTACCCTGCTGGGCTGTCCTTCTTAGAAATGAGGAAGTGGAGGGTTAAGTGGATTTCTCAAGGTCGTGCAGCTGGTAAATGGCAGAACCAGGATTTGAACTCAGGTGTGCATGACTTCAAAGGAAGACACCACTGAGGCCTCCTCTACTGGGTCTGCCTCCCTACCGCCCCTGGCTCCTTGATGAAGACTCCTGTAGGACAGGATGGAGCAACTTGCTTCCAGCTATTATGAGATTTCTGCTTCTCCCTTCTCTCCTCCAGAAAACAAATTGATTCATCAAATTACACCTTTAATCTGTCCTAGGGAAGGGGAGGAATGGGACTCAGCCCCCACAGCAGGAAGCAGGACGGGTAATCAGCCCACCCGTCCTCCCCAGCTCAGGCACAGCCACCCATGCTCTATCCTCCTGTGATTAAACACTAATTGCCGCTATGCTCTCAAATTGAGTATTTCAATTTCCAGAAACGCAAAGTACATTTCAATCAGTTCCTCTCCCAAACCGTTCCTTCTCAGGAGCCAGGACAAGAACATAAGCCCCCCAAGGCCATAGACAGCTAAGCCTCACTCCTGTACTCCTGCCGTCCCTCTCCCCCGCAACCACCGCTTCTCTCCTTCCCGGGTACCCCGTGGGGGAGCTGTGGGCACTCGAAGTGTGTGGGAGCATCCAAGAGACCCTACAATTGTCAGCTCAGAAAAGTGAGGCAGGCCCCCCCAACCCTGGGGTCAGACAAGGGGATGGGGACTGTCCACTAGAGGCAGGGTCCAGGCTGCCTGCTCCTCACCTGCCCCCGACCTTCTCCCTGCACACGGTCATTAGACGCTCATCCCAGCCTTCGGAGTGGACAGAGGCTGGGCAGGAATCCCAGTGGGAGCAGAGACTGGCGGGATGGACACCTGGCCCTTAGTTCCAACTCTGCTACACATCTCCCCTCTCTGGCTCTCAGTGTCCCCATCTGTCCCAGAAAGGGGCTGGGGAGGGGCTCACAGTCGTAGCTGGAAGGTATGTGCTTCCCAGGCACAGGCCCAGGGCCAGGATCCGGCTGGCTGCAGATTCCCCTGGGGGTTCTGAGGAGGGGCCAGAAATTGACTTTTTTTTTTTTTTTTGACGGAGTCTTGCTCTGTGGCCCAGGCTGGAGTGCAGTGGCACGACCTTGGCGCACTGTAACCTCCACCTCCCGGGTTCAAGCAATTCTCCTGCCTCAGCTTCCTGAGTAGCTGAGATTACAGGCACCTGCCACCACGCCCAGCTAATTTTTGTATTTTTAGTAGAAACAGGGTTTCACCATGTTGGCCAGGCTGGTCTCAAACTCCTGACCTCAAGCAATCTGCCCTCCTCGGCCTACCAAAGTGCTGGGATTGCCGTCGTGAACTGTGCCTAGCCAAACTGGCATTTTTGAAAGGCTTTCCAAGCTGGGCATAGTGGCTCATGCCTGTAATCCCAGCTACTCAGAAGGCTAAGGGGGGATGATCCCTTGAGACCAGGAGTTGAAGACCAGCCTGAGCAGCATAGTGAGATTCTGTCTCTTAAAAAATAAAAATAAATAAGTAAATAAAAATTAAAATGATAAAAAGCCTCTCCAAATGATTCCAATATGTAGCCGGGGTTTGGGAACTGCCAGGCTAGTGCAGCCTTCTCTGTTGACAGGTGTGAATATGGGCCCAGAAAGGGTGAGCCTCTAGCCCAGAATCACACAGCAAGTGAGAGATGTTAGCCAGAAGATAGCTAACAACCCTTCCAGTTTGGACATTTCAGAAAAGCAGGTGAACAAACACACAGAGTGAAGGGGAACAGGGGTGTAGCGCCCACTGTCACGGAGAGGAAGGGTTGCTGAGAGGTCTAGTCAAGAATTCCTACTTAAAAACCGCATCCCCTCCACAATGTTAGATGTAGGTCCTGAGCAAGTTACTCCATCCTAAAAATAAAGATGGCGCTAGAGATTTAACCGAGGTCTCTCCAAGGTCCCTTCTGGCTCCAGAACCCTCCTTCCAGGCCAGCTGGAAGCATAATAAATAATAATAACAATGGCAGACATTTATTGAGCATTTACTAAGTCTAGGAACTGAGCTAAGCCTTTGGCGTGGATTGCTTCTTTCTAGCCACTCCACCATCCTAAGAAGGGCTGTCTTATTTCCCTCTAGCTCTCCTACAGGTGAGCAAAGCGCGGCTCGGGAAGGTAGCTCCTGCCGGAATGGAGCAGAAACGTCTCGGCTGGGAATCGAACCCAGGGTCAGTCAGTAGCGGCCGCGTTTTAGGACCCGGCGGTGCACCGAAGACCCGGCGGAACGGCGCGCACCCCGGGCCCAGAGCTCATTAGCCGGGCGCCGCGGGGGCCTTCATTAAAGCTCAGCGACGCGGAGGCTGCCCGCGGCGGCCCCGCCTGGGCGCTCCGGGCTGGCCCGGACCTGCGGCGTCGGCCCAGGAGCATCTGGAAAGGGGGCGCGGGCGGGGATCGGTAGGACCGCCTATGCTCAGGGACTGTCACCCACCCCCTCCCCCAAGCCAAGGAGTAGCGGGGAAGGGGGGCGAGTGCACCCAGGTATTGGGGGGAGCATCAAATCGGAGTGGAGGGGGCCGGTGTCACCGAGCTATCCCCAAACCTCGAACGGCCAAGGCCGAGTCACCCCCGCCCCACCCCCACACACTATGCACCCATTTCACAGATGGCAGGTCCTAGCTCAGAGGGTTAGGGCAGGCCCAGAACCGCATCGCCATCGCCCGTTCGCAGGCCTGATTGAGAGGCTGGAAACGAGGATGGGCAGGGAGTGAGGACCTGTAGGCTCTGCCGGAGAACTTGGGCGTGGGCGGAGCGGGGCATCCAGGAAGAAGCCCCCACCCCAGCCTTGGATAGGGTAGTATACGATAGGGGGCGTAAAGAAGGGTCATGGGCTCCGGTGGTCGCAGGTCCCACCGGCAACCGCCAGGGCGGGGGCAGCAGGAGCAGGAACCTGCTCGCCTCCGCATCTCGTCGGCTCCCCTCTCCCGCCAGACTCCTGTCTCTGCGCCAGGCTGGCCACCCATCCCCTACGCCGGCCCCGCGCCTCCGTCCTCCTCCCCGCTCCCCGCGCTCTCCTCGCCTCCTCCCGCTTCTCTTACCGGAAACCGATCCTGTCCCCTCCATCCCACTCCACCGGTTGACTGAGGTCGCCGCCCATCTTTCCACCCCCGCTGTGTGACTCTAGACGATTGTCTTAACCTCTCCGAGCCTTAGTAAGTAGGCAAGTGGAAAAAGAAGTCAGAAGACTCGGGTGATGGAATGCCAGCCTTTAATGGGTTAAAAAGTGGGAAATGTATGTGTATATATTTGCTTTTCTATGCATATGTTTGCTTGTCTGCGCAGACAGCCTGGAAGAGGAGGGAAGTCGCTGGCGAAGCTGGCTGCCTCCAGGGAGGGAGCCTGGTCCCTGGGGAATGAGCCGGGGGAGATGGAGACTCAGTATTGCACACACCTCTTAAATATTCAAATGTGTAAATGCATTAGCAATTCCAGCTAATAAACAAAATAAAATACAAACATTTACAAAACTAAAATTTAAGAATAATACTAGTGAAGATTAAGCCAGATAAAGTGTGTGAAGCCAGCAGACACACAGAAGTTTCAGTGAACCGCCCCTGTTTTGATTGTCACTGCTCACTAGGTTTGCTGTCGGCTGCTCTGGGTGCCCCTCTTCTTCCCCATCTCCCTCCGTCTTCTGGCCTCAAACCCACCTCGCCTCCTCCTCCCTGCAGCCCCTCCCTGCACTGAAGTCCCTTGCACTCCACCCCCATCTCTTCCAGGGTGGCTGGACACAGGACAGAGGAGCAGGGCTGCGGTGGAGCCCTGGGGATGATGGAGAGTGGGGGGCAGCTGAGCTGTCTGCCAGTCCCCAGGATCCCGTTTGGGAGGGGATCCCCAGTCTAGCTTCAGATATCTCCCCACCTCACAGACGCAGGGTCCCAGTGTAACCTTTGATGGATGAAAAGGTTGGAAGGGAGAACTAAGAGCGGGGGCGTGGCCGGGCGCAGTGGCTCACTCCTGTAATCCCAGCACTTTGGGAGGCCGAGGCGGGCAGATTGCCTGAGCTCAGGAGTTGGAGACCAGCCTGGACAACATGACGAAACCCCATCTCTACTAAAAATCAAAAAATTAGCCAGGTGTGGTGGCGGGCGCCCATAATCCCAGCTACTCGGGAGACTGAGGCAAGAGAATTGCTTGAACCTGAGAGGCGGAGGTTGCAGTGAGCCGATATCGCACCACTGCACTCCAGACTGGGAGACAGAGCAAGACTTAGTATCAAAAAATATATAAAAATAAAAATTAAAAAGTGGTGGGCGAAGCCCCCAGTGAACCACTGGAATCCCTTCTACATGCCCCTCCAAGACAAACGCCCCCGACATACACACACAGCCCAGCACAGCATCACCCTATACTCCATCCCACGTGCACCGGGCACAACCTCTGGCCTGCCCATCCCCCTCTTCTCAGCTCCTCCCCTCCCCACCCCCTCCACGGCACAGTCTTGGCAAGAAGGTCCCCAGAGATAGCAACAAGTAACTAGCACCTTAGGCCAGGCTGAGGGTGTGGCAGATGTGGCCTCAAGGCAGGGCAGGGTGGGGCTGGCCCAGGAACCAGAGACCTTTTCAGAATCCCGGCTCAAGGACAGGGAGAGGTGTTTCGTGACAGGAAAGAAGGAATCACTCTAGCAGTCCCAGAAAGCATGTCCAAGGGGAGTCTTGGAGCTCCTCTAGAAAGACCCTCCTCCCTAGTCTTCCTGCCTCCAGCTCGTCCCCTCCAGGCCACCATCCCCGATGCACAGTTCCAAGGCGCTTGACATGCACTGGCTCTTAACAGGGCTTTCCCAATGCACACCTGCCAGGCCTGTCCCCCACCTCCCCTTGAGGATCAAGTTCATGCAATGCAGGTTGACATTCAGAGCCCTCAAGAGGTCCTCCCTGGCCTTCCAGATGCAGCCTCCTTTCTGAAGCTCCAGCCCCCACCTCACCCTGTGCTCTCCGCTCCTTTTGGAGTGAAAGGTACCCACCCGCCTGCTTTCTGTGAGAGCACCGCACAGTCTGCAACCACAGCCTGGCCCAAGTGAGTGGAGAACCTAGAGGCCAGGGTCTGACTCATTTCTGAGTCCTCAGGGCCCCTTGGACACAGGGAGCCCAGAAGGGCAGGGGAGTAATGGCAAGTTCTGCAGATTAAGAGGGCTGAGCTGGGGCCCAGTGCCAGGCAGAGAAACAGCCCTGCCTTAACCACAGACCTGCAAGGCCGGACTGATGGGTCCCTTTAACAGGAAAGGAAACTGAGGCTCAAAGCAAGTGTCTTCTCCAAGGCCACACAGGCCTTGTTTTGGTTCCTGCATCAGTTGGCTCCCAGCTGGGAAGAGCCTGGAGGGCAGGAGGAAAGCCAATGCCAGGGGATTCTGCCCCCCTCTCTGTCCGCCTTGGGCACGGCTCTGGCCAAGTCTACACCCTGAGGGCTCCAGCTGCTGCCAGAATTGCTCCTCCTGGTTCCATGGTGCTGGAATTCCAGCAGAGCCACCTCCTCCCTCTGTCCCCCTGGCCTTGGGAAGCAGCAACTTCCTACTACGCTGTGATCTCATTGTCCCTTTCTTTTTTTTTTTTTTTTTTTTTGAGACTGAGTCTTGCTCTGTCGCCCAGGCTGAAGGGCAGTGGCACAATCTTGGCTCACTGCAACCTCCGCCTCTGGGGTTCTAGCGATGCTCCTGCCTCATCCTCCTGGGTAGCCGAGATTACAGTCGTGCGCCACCACGCCCAGCTAATTTTTGTATTTTTAGTAGAGATGGGGTTTTACCATCTCTTTGCTGGGATTTCCCAAAGTGCTGGGATTACAGGCGTGAGCCACCGCGCCCGGCCTTCGTTGTCCCCTTCTAATGCTTCCAATCCCCTACGGTAAGTCCCCCAGTTCCACTCTGACGATTTTCATTTCCTGGCTTGGCCCCGAGTCCTGAGTGGGTGGCCCCTGCGCAGGTCCTGGCCCCACTGCCCCGGCTGTTCTTCACTGACGATGGCCGACACTGCCTGACCTCCAGGTTCCTCAGCCTCACCGAGTTCTTTGGCGCCTCCGGGCCATGTTGCGTGCTGTTCCCCCTGCCTGGCTGATCTTCCTGAAGCCCTTTGCCTGGCCGGCTCCATCTATCCCTCTGCTCTGCAGCCTCTTAGCGGCGCCCTCCGTGACTCCCAGTCTTAATCCAGCTTGCTCCCCAGTCCCTCACAAGGCCCTGGCTTCCCCAAAGCCCTGGGTACTGCCTGTGCTTAGGCATCATCTGATTATTTCGTTCATGCTGGATTTTGCCATAGGACCCCCAGCTCAGGAACTCCAGGAGGGCGGGCACATCTGTCTTCCTCACAGCTGCAGCCGTGGCTCCAGAGACTGACGCTGTGCCTGGGTGGAGGTGTCTTCAGTCAATACTTACCGAATGCATGACTCCATGGAAGGATCAAGGAGTGGAGGACAAGACTGGCAGGTGGACACATGGACTGGGCCAGATCACAAAAGGTCTTAAGTATTAGCGTAAGAAGGTGAGTAGGGCCCAGGGAAGATCCTTCATTTTCCCTTCCCTTACCAGATGCCTGATTTTCTTGGGTCCCCAGGCTTACGTTGAAAGCACAATAAATGTGTTTCCTATATCCTAAAATCTTCCCAGCCACCCTGGCCCTCCCCAATCACACACACAAATTGAGCCTGGGAGGCCCAGGAGGGCATGGGGGTGGAGGCTGTGCCAGGCAGTGTGGGTCACCTGAAGGCCAGAGTCCCTTATCAGGCTCTTCTTTGCCCTGGGCGGCCTCTTGGGCCATGTTGCTGACTTCACTCCTGTCCCCTCCCTTACCCAGACAATCCAGAGGAGGGGTGATGTTAGCATAGCCCGAGGCAACCCTCAGGGCCTAGTTACAGAGTCACCCTCAGAAAAGAGACACTGGGACCTGAAAAGAGGCATGGCGGTCCCTGGTTGCTCCCCATTAAACCCTGGCCCAGCTCAGGCCCTGGGCTCTCCTGGGCAGAGCTGTGTGGCTCTCCTGAATGTGTGAGCACCAAACTTGGAGGTCTTAATTCTGGGGACTCATAGCACCGTGGGGCCGCTCTCTCTCTTCCTCAGTGAAATGTGGGCATGGCCGGCATACTTCCACCCTCACGGGGACGGTCAGAACAGAGAGGAGACGCAAAGGCGGTGAGAAGGGGCACACAGCTGGGGCGAGTCCCATAGCCTCTCTGTGCCTCAGTTTACTTGTCTGTTAAGACGGGGTCGTCTGATTATGCTAAGTCAGATAAGCCAGATGCAAAAGAACATATATTTTATGATTCCACTGATGGGAGGTACCTGGAATAGTTTAATTCATAGAGACGAAGACCAGCGGTTACGGGGGTTGACATGGGAGGGGGCGTGGCGCAGGGCGTGCAAGCTTCTGTTCGGGATCATGCAGAAGCCCCGGAAATGGATGGTGGTCATGGCCACACAGGAATGTGAATGTACCGAATGCCACGGACCTGTATGCTTACAGAGCTAAAATGGTAAATTTCATGTTACGTACATTTTACCGCAATTTAAAACACACACATAAGAGGTGGACCTCCCCTACTGTGCGGGCCTGACTGGGGGGTTACATCAGGGAAAGGCCTGGGGACCTGAGCCCAGAGGAGCTGTGCTGAGCCCCCCGAAGTAGTAGTGGAAGGGCTGCAGAGTTTTGACCTCCTTCTCAGGCCTGGGCCCATTCCTGAGCTCAGGGCAGGGCTGAGAGCAGTTGGAGCCCAAGGACCTGGGGTGGGGCCAGAGGGGTCCTGGGCGCTCAGCTGGCCTCCCCCAACACCCAGCCCCTCGCCTTGTCTGCACCTCCTTCTGCAGCTCAGCAAAACTCTTTCCCTTCCTTTACAGGCTGGCATGGATCATCAGGCCCACCTTCCAGGAGGGGAGACTGAGGCCCCACCAGGCTCAGAAATGCCCCCATAGTCAAATGACCTGGCCCATTCCAAGTGGAGCCTGTGACCCCACCCCACCCTTGAGCTTCTCCCACTGCATTTAAGCCCAGCCCAGCCCGGCACTGGGAGCTGTTCTGGAAACAGGGCACTGTCTGCCCCAAGTTCTGCCCGGAACTGGCCCCCCCCACCTACCCCTAAGTGCCCCCCTTAGTTGGCAAATGCCTCGAGAGTCTCCTTCCTTCCCTTCTCCACCGCAACCATCCTGAGAATATCCTCACAGAGAAGAAAGAGGCAAGGAGATTCCTTAAAAAGCCAAATATCCTGGTGAGAAGCTGCTATTAACCTCCTGGGAAGCTCCAGAGAAGAAATAGCAGGGAGTGGGGAGGCTGCCCGACTCCTGGGCAATGATGGAGAGCCAGGAGGCGGCGTCAGGTGCAGAGAAGAAATAGCAGGGAGCGGGGAGGCTGCCCGACTCCTGGGCAGTGATGGAGAGCCAGGAGGCAGTGTCAGGTGGCGGGTGGGCGGAGAGGCGGCAGCATCCAATGATTCCCATCACACATTCAACGTCTGGCAGCTCCTGCTGAGTGAGCACCTGCTGAATGCTCAGGGGCCTCTGCAGGCGCGGCAAACCTTGAGGGCAGAGCCGGTGGTGCCAACTCCATGATACAGATGAGAAAAGTGAGGCCCAGGCGAGGCAATGGGCACGTGGACGTAACCAAGGTCACACAGCTCAGGAAGGCCGGGACTGCAGCTTTGAAACCACATCTGTCTGAAGCCGAAGTCTAGGAGAGAAATAGACAGATGGAGGGCAGCAGGGCAGAGATTGGACTGAGAGAGATAGAGAGAGGGAGGGAGAAGGGGAGGGATAAAGAGGGATGGAGAGAAAGAGGGAGAGACAGCAAGTGAGCCAGACCATGAGGGGCACCCACCGACCTCACCAGCAGCCAGGGGGCAGGGGTCACCATGGAAATTGTGTGCTTAGTGGTGATGTGGCAGCATGGGAGGGGAGGTGCAGTCTTGACTGGGTCGGGTGGGCCTCTGAGGCTCGCATGGCAGGGGCGTAGGGCAGGAGCTGAAGGGGTTCAGTCCCTCCCACTTTACTGCTGTCCCCTCTGGAGTCCTGCTGCTCCACCACTGTGGCCAGCCATCCTCTCCCCTTGCCTATCTCAGGCCCTCCTGTGCAGCTGTGGAGGACGGAGCTAGGTGGGCTGTACCTGCCTTTCCTCTCCAGCTCTGGGCCAAGCCCACTGTGCTCACCCGCCTGGGTCTAGAGGAGGGAAGGTCTAAAGCACTGGGTCCTTGTCCCTGCTCTGTCACTGGTGTGCTGTGCGGCCCTGGGCAAGCCACTTTCCCTCACTGGGCCATATTTCCAACGTGGTTGAAGGTTTCCCGGATGGTTCTATTTCTGGGATTTTCACACTGTCTGAGAACAGCCCCATCTCAGAGAAATCTCTTGGGTGCTATTTGGAGAGGACTCATTCTAGAGTCCAAATCCTCAAAGCCTGACTCCCATCCCTTCGTTAAGCACCTGCCATGTACCAAGCACTGGTTCAGAAGCCAGAAATACTGGTTTCGTTGGTGAACTCAAACCCCTGACAATTCTGAACCTTGGTTTCCTCATCTGCAAAATGGGTCAGTGAGGACAGAGCCCCTCCTCAGAATGAGGAAGAGGCACAAATGAGATAATTTAGGGGAATTCTCCCCACAGGCAGGTCGCTACCAGGATCCTCCTCCTGCTGGGGCCCTCTGGTCAGACAGACCTGGGTTCCAAGCCTGGCTCACCCACTCATCACTTGCACTGCCCTGTAGGAGCCCTGACCCTGACATTAGACAGGCACAGGGGTGGCCTGCCATCTGTGTTAGTCACCCCAACCTGTCCCCTTGCCTCCCAACAACCGCCACACCTCCATGCATTCTTTACACCCCTCCCCAAAGACCGGATGAGGACTTGGGTCCCTGGAGACCGAGCAAGTCTTCCCCTGAAGACTTGAAGAGGCACGGAGAAGCGGAGTGAAGCAGAGCTTTCCACATATCCATCCCCTGCTCAAAAACCTTCCATGGCTCCCTATTGTCCTGCAAATGATCCAGCTCCTCCCCAGCATTTCAGCCCTCCAGAATAGGCCCGTCTGCCCCTTTCTCCCATTATTGCCCTTTCTCTAGCCTCCCTCTAGCAGCACCTGTTCCCCAGTGTCTCCTGCCCACCCCCTGTCCTCTTGCAGAGGAGGGGGAGAAGGAGGGCCATTCCAGGCAGAGGGATCATCCTGTGCAAAAGCTCCACGATGCAATGGGAGGAGTGGGGTGCAGTGGGGCCCTCCCCCGAGGTGCAGCCCGGTCCTGTGCTCTGCTGAGCGAAGTCCTCCCTCCCAGGTCCCCCCCACTCCTGGGTCCCACTGCTGCCCCTGGGTTTTTCCACCTTGTTCTTCTGGAAATCCACTCAGATTTCTCCGGGGGACCGGGAGCCACTGGGCTTCACTGTTGATTTTTCACAAGTGATTACTGGCGGTAGAATTTGTCACCTGCACAAAGAAAGGAAAATGAACCTTTCATCAGAGCCAGTCTGTGGGCCCCTGAGGAGGCTCAGCTTCAAGAGCTGGGGAGCAAGGTGTGGGTGGGGGGGTGGGCACAGGAAAGGGAAGCGGGGAGGGGAGGGAAGGGGCAGGGCTACCCAGGGCCAGGCCCAGACAGGTAGATCTGTTTCAAGCCCCCATTCATTGGAAGATGGAGAAATGGTAGCTCAGAGAGCCTGAGAGCCTTGCCCAAGGTCACACAGCAGCTAAGGGACAGCTTACCTGGGCCCACTCGGCACCCCATGAATGCTGGCAGAGTGGGTGCCATGGGGCTCAAGTCACAGAAACAGAAAGGAATATGGCAGATGGTCTGGTCCCAGGCCTCTTCAATTTCACAGAGAGACTGAGGCCCTCAGAGGGACCGGAACTTGCCGAGGACACACAGTGAGGCCACAGCAGGGCGGCGACTGGAAGGCAGAAACTCAACTGCAGGCTCCTGAACCTCAGCCCAGCTCCTTCCTCTGGCCAAGGAATCCCATAAGTGAGGCAGGTGGGGGCCCCAGCTGCAACGGTCTGTGTCCCAGGTCCGCTCCTCCCTGCTCCCCCGCCCCTATGCCCCTGGGCTCCGAATGGGTGGCTTTGGAACAACCTGCCCTCCCTGAGCCTCAGTTTCCCCACCTAGAGATGGGCACTACACCCTCCCATTTCTTGGTCTGCTGTGAGGGTTCCCATCTGCTGGCCGATGCCCGCCTCTCCCACTCCAGGCTGCCTCCAGTCTGAGGTTTCTGTCTCTCTCTCAGCCCCCGGCCTGGGCTCCACTGTCGGTTTCACGCCTCCTCCGCCTCCACCTTGGCCAGCTTCCCTCATTGCTGTGAGCCGAGCCTGTCTTGCTCCCTCCTCAGTGCTCCCGCTGCTCAGCCGTGAGGATGATCAACACCCACCAGGCTGCCAGCCACCAGCAGGAGGGAGTGCAGAGAGCGGTCTTGGCTGGCACCCACCCCTTGGCTCCCAGACCCACCCCCCCCGGACCCCAGCCTCCCCAACTCATCTCCAGTGTTCACCCACCTCAGTCCCTCCAGCCCTATCTAGCCCCTCCAGCTCCCAAACCCTTTCTAATCCTCCCCACACCCTCTCCAGCTCTCCCAACCCTCCTGGCCCTCATCTTCCCCAGTTTCCTCCAGTGCTATTCCTCCTGATGCCCCTCACACCCCCCTGGATCCCTTAGGCCAGGCCGCTGTCAAAGAGGGAGTGGGACAGGGCAGTGGGTGGAGGGGCCGAGGGCTTACAGCACTGCTCGCCCACCTGCCCATGCCCCCCTGCCTATGCCCGCCTGCCCACGCCCACCTGCCCATGCCCACCTGCCCATGCCCCCACCCATGCCCCCTGCCCAACCCCACCTGCCCATGGCCCCCTGCCTATGCCCGCCTGCCCATGCCCACCTGCCCATGCCCACCTGCCCATGCCCCCACCCATGCCCCGTGCCCAACCCCACCTGCCCATGCACACCTGCCCATGCCCCCTGCCCACACCCACCTGCCCATGCCCACCTGCCCACACCCACCTACAACGCAATGGTGGCAGCCACCAACCCTCCCACAGCCCAGTCACCACACTCACACAAGTCCTACACACACTGCTCCCACAGATATCTCCTACACTCACACACAAATCTACATGCGCACATACACCCAGGAGCCCTGACCCCATCCCAAACCCCCAGCATCGCCGGCTCTCAGCGCCAGGTGGACAGGGCACTGGGAGTGGACAGGAGGGGCAGCAAGACCCAGGCTCAGGGCACCCAGAGGCCCCCCTGCTGCCCCCACACAGGTGGCCTTCCTGGTCCTGGCCCAGTGCCAGCCTCGAGTCTTGGGAACACATTCCTCCCGGCCCTCATCCTGGTGCCTCTGATGTGGCAGGAGGAGGGGGATGCTGTGACCCACTGTGGCCACACTGTCTCTACCCCCCTTCCACAAGAGACTCCATGCACGTGGCCCTCAGGGGAAGCCTGATCCCCAGCATGGCTGACCTCTGCGGTCCTCGAAGGCTGACCTCTGCAAACTCCTTCTCCTGTCCTGGCACCACCATGCGCATCCCCTCTGCCACAGGCACCCCATCCCCGTCCACGCCTGCTCTCACCCTGCTCCTCAGGTGCGCAGGGGGCGCTGAGGGGCGAGCTCCCCCAATGGGCATCATCATCCCATGCCGCCTCCATGCCCAGAGCACAATCCCCCCTGCTCTGCCAGGGGGCCCTCCCCGTTCTCTTCCCTGCTGTCAGCACCACTCTCCCACTGGGAGCCAGCCCAGGCACCTGCCCCTGAGGGGCCACGCTCCCGTCAGTCCCTGCAGAGCAAGCCTGTCTCCTCTGGGTCCCACTGCACCAGGCACTGCCCCCATCACAGATGTCCACTTGGCCCACTACCTTCCTGTGCCCCCTTCTGGGCCCACCAATCTGTGAGCACCTTTCATCCTGACACACTGGCCTCCTCCTCGCCATCCCCAGTCTTTTCTCCTCTTCAACTGTCATTGTGCAGTTTCCTTTCTGCCCCTCCCTCCCCATCACCTTCAGAAGCCACCTCCTCCAGGAAGCCTTCCCAGATGCTCTGCAAGGTGACGCTGGGAAGTGGTATACAGGCTTTGGACCCAGGATGATCTGGGTTCTCTCCCTATCTGTGTGATCTCAGCAAGTCGCTCCACTTCTCTGAGCCTTAGTTCCTTATGCATAACATGCATTAATAACAACCCCTGCCAGGGAGTCAAACGCCCTGGCACACAGTAGGTGCTCCACAGCCCTGAGGCACACCTGCTCCCCTGCAAAGGGCCATGTCCTCCTTGTTTTTTGTTTTTGTTGTTGTCTTTTTTTTTTTTTTTTTTGAGACGAAGTCTCACTCTGTCACCCAGGCTGGAGTGCAATGACACAATCTCAGCTCACTGCAGCCTCTGCCTCCCAGGTTCAAGCAATTCTCCTGCCTCAGCCTCCGGAGTAGCTGGGACTAGAGGTGCGTGCCACCACGCCCAGCTAATTTTTGTATTTTTAGTAGGGACAGGGTTTCACGATATTGGCCAGGATGGTCTTGATCTCCTGACCTCATGGTCTGCCTGCCTCAGCCTCCCAAAGTGCTGGGATTACAGGCATGAGCCACCACACCCGGCCATGGCCTCCTTGCTTTTACCCTTGGCAGGGAGTGTTTTCTTTGTCCCATTGTTTATGTCTGCTGTTTCCCTCTTTTCCCATT